>NC_000009.12:103523582-103675097 GCF_000001405.40 Homo sapiens | reverse complement strand
GTTTCTAAATACCATCCTCCACTGAAAAAAACCAGAGCTCCTTAGAAAAGTGGTTGACTCCAGAGCCGGGTTAAGAAAAGTACAGGATGAGCCTGGAGCATTTTGTGGCAAACATAAGGAAATGTTCAAAGAAGATGAGAACATGCCAGAACAACATAGGAGCCGTTTTGAAGAGAATCCACTGGTCAAATCTGGGGAAATTTGACCATCAAAATGCGCTTTACCATTTGCCAACCATGATTGTGATGATATGCAGGAGTTGCTAGCAGATGCTAGGACTGGAGGATGGATATAATTAAGAACAGAATATTGACATAGTTTTACAGTATTACCTCACAAAATAATTAAAAAGGGAAACAGCCACTTTAGAGAAACCTGGCAAAGAATAACTTGACCAGACGATCAAGGTTAACATAACCAGCAAGGGGATGGTTCAATATAATTTGCCTCCTGATGTGATGTCCTGAGAACATACCACTTCAATGATGCTCCAGTCCAAGACACAGCCTGAGCCTGGTCATAAGGCAGTATTGGATAGACCCTGATTGATGATCATCTTACATAATTAAATGTCTGTATTCTTCACAACTGTCTACATTATGAAAGACAGGAAAAGGCTGAAGATCTGTTCAGGATTGAAGGAGACTAGACTGAAGAGACATGACAACCTGATAGAATGCATGACAGTTGGTGACTTTAATTGGCTTTCCTGATCTGGATGGCAGTGTGGCTATTGAAGATGATGTCCTGATTGGTATCACTGAAGAGATGTAACAAATAAGAGTGTCCTTGTTTATGGGAGATACATTTCAGTGTGCTTGTGAACAAATGGACAATATATTTACAGCTCAATAATGGGAATGAGGGGAGAGAGACGGTAACATATTAACAATTAGGGAACTTAGAGACATATGGGAAAATGTGTGCAGTTCTTAAAATTATTCTGAATCTTTGAAATTATTTCAAAATAAATTATAAAAACAAGTTAATACAATAACCTACTGCTTTATTAAAAATAACTTCTGTGGTATTTCATTACTTTTGTATTTTTTGGGATAAAGTATTCATAAGACAGATTGGATAAACCAGGCAATTTTTTATAACAAAATGATAAAATAAATCAGCAAATATTGCTTTCCATGGGGCAGATTTCTAGGCAGTAAAATAAAGATAAATGTGTATATGTATGAACTATCTTGTTTTAGCTTCTGGGCTTTGTGATTAAAAACTATATTTTGAAATAGTTGTTACTAGAATCAAAGAGTTAACATTTAAAATGTAGAAGTCATAGCTTGAAGTTTACCCTAGACAACTGGAAATGAAAACATGTTTCAATGATTTAGCACTGGAATAAGGTTTTGCCTTCTTATGCACAATTTTACTTGCAAATGGATTGGCCAATTCAATCCAACTAAAGAAACAGTTGTATTCTCAATGTCAGCCAAAAAAAGGTTAAAATGAAAGGCCAAAAAAATCTGTTTGCTACATGAAACTAATTAATAATGTGATAGGCATTTCTCTCTACCAAAGATCAAATCTGGGGGAACATGAAACACTGGTACCATCTTTATTTTTATTTTGTTGCTAAACTTATCAAGAATTGGGTAAAGGAGTTCCAATATGCACAATTTTAGATAAGAGTGAGAAGGTTTGGAGAAAATAGAAGAAAAATAAAATATTATAGATCAACTGAAAAAGGATAAATAGGACCTGACAACAGTCTAGAATATAGAATAAATAAGATTAAACTGAACTCTGGGCTTGTGTGTTGGGGAAACAAGGAAAGAGAGACACGGTAAAACCTACCATTAAATAATGACAAAAACAACCACCTAGTTTTCAAGATAATTATATGAACTTATTAAATACTTGCTAAGAATATAAGTGAGATTTATGATTGTGAAAAATTTATAAGGTATACTATGAATACTTTTAGATTATTTTAATTAAAGTGGAGAAAGCACAGTGATACAGAAAATACGGAAATGCCAAAATGTCAAAGCCCTTTTCCTTAATATGGAGAAAGAAAATATTTCTTTTTCCAAGATTAGGGAAAAATAATTGAAAAATAAACCATAATAGTTCAGCCAACAATTGGGCATTAGTGCCCCATGGGGTTCATTCACTATAATGTGCAACCTTTTCTATGTGAAGATGATACAATTGATTCATAATTATAGAGCATGTGCTCTGAGTCCTTTTTAAAATAATGGTTATTGACTGATAATTGTCTGCCACACTCTGTAGCTCAACTTTATAACCAATGACCCTCATCTGTTAAATAAAGAACAAGATTTAGAATTCCTGCTCCCCGATGATTTTTAGAAACCTGTGATTAAGCTTCATCAGACTGCTGCTTTAATTGATTGAACTGCTTGTCACAGAACAGCCTGCAGGGCAGTGATGCAAAACATATGATCCAGTGACTAGCATCATCATTGCTATTACCTAGAAACTTGTTAACATGTAAATTCTCAGGCTCTATCCCAGACTTCCTGAATCAGAAACTCCAGGAGTGGCCCCACCAATTGTGATGTAATAATACGTTTTTTTTCTTTTCTTGAGACAGAGTATTGCTCTGTTGCCCAGGCTGGAGTGCAGTGGTGCGATCTTGGCTCACTGAACCCTCCACCTCCCTGGTTCAAGCGATTCTCCTGCCTCAGCCTTCCTAGTAGCTGGGATTACAGGTGCACGCCACTATGCCTGGCTAATTTTTGTATTTTTAGTAGAGACGGGGTTTCGCCATGTTGGCCAGGCTGGTCTTGAACTCCTGACCTCAAGTGATCCACCCACCTCGGCCTCCCAAAGTCCTGGGATTACAAGAATAAGTCTTTAATAAGTTGAAAAGCACTACTGTAAGGCAACTTGTTTCTTCTGTACTACAGGATGGTAGAGGAAATAACAGTGGCCGAGTGACCATTTCTTGAAAATATTTTTTTGTACATGGGAATTCATAGGTAATTATGAACATTCCTGTTGATGAAAGGTCTCTATTGCTTAGAAAAATGTGCTTTTTTGGGGGGGGGGCAGAGCATGTCTAGCACCCCTAGGAATTTGTATTATTTTGTTGGATAAAGTTGAAGCAAGAAGAATAATTCAATACAGCTGATACTGAGCAAACATTAAAGCTCATAGATCATGCACCCAGGCTAAAAGTCTTCAAAATCTCATTAACATTGTCTGAATCACTGTTTTCAAAATGGAGAGAAAGGAGGCAGGCTTTATTCCAGGAAGCCAGAGTCCTTTTGTTATGCTCTGCTATTACTAATACGCGGCTCTATTTTTGACAACTACAAATTGGCCCATAAAACAGATTCTCCCCAATAATGCTTCCTTGTTGCTTCCTGGCACTGTCATTCTGCACCCCAGTTGTGCTCTCACTGTTTCCTCATTTTGCTTCTTCCCTTCCGGCTCCTTAGCTACACCTGCCTACAATGTGTCAATTATCAACATGCACAAAACATATTTAGCGTTCTCTAGTTGCAATTTAGAGAACTGATCCAGCAGTTACCCTTGTTACCCAATGTTTTCCTTTTCAGGCCAAAACAATTATGAAACAATAACTAATATCTTTTAGGAGCTTATTTTGTGGTGGAAAATGCCCTTGGAATTTGACTTCCAATTATGAAATTAAATACAAGGCACGGGACTTGATGAAGAAAGGAAAAAGACCAGAAAGTGAAAAATAAGAAATTTATTAAAAAAAAAAAGATACAGAACAGATTAACCAGATCAGGAGAAGTATAATTGCTTACATGACTATAAATATTTTTACCTTGCGACATACTAACAGACCAAAATGTAAGATAGATTTTGGAATTCTATCGATAGAAAAAAAAGTAAAGAAGCATCTAAAGAATTTTTTTCCATATCTTATAATAATACATCAGTGCAATAAAGGATTATAAATATATACAACACAAAGCAGAAAATGATTAGAAATACTTTACTAAATTTAAAATAATGTCTGTATCTAAAAAATTTGCTCCCAAACACTCGCATTTTCTTTTCTCTATGTGCTTGCTGCATGGATACTTTATCGAGAAATATAAACCTTATTCCATTTGCCTATTTATTCTCCTTTTTCCTTTTCATAATAGCATTACAGGCCATAGCATACATTGGTTTTAGATTAAATAAACCAATTACTATATCTGTAGTGAATATTTAAAATAAAGTTTTTTTGTTTTTGATTTTTTATTTATTTTTAAATAAAAACAGGTTGTTACCATAATACTCTGGAATTATTTTGGGGGGTTGGATATCCTGGCCCTGTCACTTGCTGTGTAATCTTGGATAAGTTACTTGGCCACTTCATATATCGGATCTTTCATCTATAAAATGAAGGAAAATTGTAGTTTCTAATTTGTAGCTTTGTTATACAGAATAATAGAGTTAATGCATGTTAAATGCTTAGAATGTCTAAGTGTCTGTGGCATTGAAAGTCGTCAATAAGTGTTACTTGATATAAGGATCATGATTATTATCAGAAAAGGAGGCTAGAAAGTATATAGCCTCAACTAGTAACTGCTTTCACTTATACAAAATGGAGGGTTATAAGCTATATTGTAGTTACTTTAAGAAACTTTATGTACTTGATTTTTTAAGTTTCGGAATTAGAGTTGAAAACATCCTTATATGCATTTACAGAATGCCATATACATGTTTATGTATATATATATATATATATTTATGCATGACATGTATGTATGCATATGTGTGTGTGTGTGTGTGCGCGTGCACGCGCATGTGTGTGTGTGTGATAATGCCACATCTTGGTGATGTGTAGAGTCAGAAATTTATTAATTTATAATTTACTTTAAAAGCAGCTAAATAAGTAAACACTAAACAGCCAAACCTCACTGCTTTGACCCTGGTCCTGGTTCCCCAGCACTGCGTAACTAGGATTAATTCACATTCTACACATAGGCTACTATGCCAGCCAGTAATGAAGGCCATTGATCCTAATGCCAGCCAGCTGAGACTTGAAGTTATTTCCTCTGATCTGAGGGATGGGGTGGGCCAGCTTCTCTAAGCTCACTGTGTTGCCTTCTCCATAATACAAAATCTGCTTTATGCCAACCAAACCCAGAACTTCACACCAACCAAACTGCAACTCATATTGAAATATGAATAACCAGGAAGCTCCAAATATGAAGCCTACCCTTATTTTCAATAATCCCCAAAAATGTGTTTCTCCCTAGATTTTTTGTCCTTAATTCTGGTCCAGTTACTCTATTAACACAAAAACATTGAAAAATTGAAGCTTTAATCTAAATATCTCCTTCTATGATGTTATACAAAAACATGGTGACATAGAATATCCTCTTGGACAATGAGAAGATAAATGATACTATTCTTGTTGCACAAACCAGGCTATCCTAACTTTTATAAAATCATTTAAATGCAGATATTTCAAAACAATGTAAGAGAATACTAAGATTGTAAAAATCCTCACTTGCTTACGGAAAACCTGAAATATCATCATATTAGGAAAACTGCCTCTGGTTACTAGAGATTTAGCAGCAACATGCTGAGCTTTTACCCAGCAGGGACTCAACAAAAGCTTTCTCAGTGACAGAATGAACATTAGTCTTAGTTTAAGATCTGGTTCTCTATGCAGATCATTACCCATTGTGTCTTCTGGGCATGCTCTTAGCAAACACAGTAGCAATCCCTACATGTAATTATAGTTCAAAGGATGTGGGGAAGAAAAATTTTCACTTTTAATTTAAGAGTGTGAGTCCCTGTTAAGCATCAGCAGGGTTTCTGTCACTCACTCTCAGGAATTTAAATCATAGCTTATTTTAATTTAGAGGACCAACTAAAATCTCAAAGAGAGAACTGGTAACTGCATCAGGAAAATGTATCAGCAAAGGTCAGTTAACAGTATACACAGATGAAACCAAGGTTCATACGTATTCTTAGGCATTTGGGAAATGGGTAAATATGTGCCTATTCAGGAAGTCAAAATTATTAGAGTTGAATGCATACAAAATACTGGAATAGAATAACTTCTATTATTAGACTGCCATTAATAGTGAAGTTCTATGTGAAAAATACTTAAATAATCAAATGAATTATTTTATAATTATTAAATTAGTAAACTCAAAAAGTCTCTGGTCCAATCTGGCATGAGCATGACTAAAAATAAGGAATTTTATATATATATATACACACACACACACACACACACATATATATGTATATATATAATATATCGACACACACATACATATTCATATGAGGAAGAAGTATTATTTTTGAAAATAATTATAGTAAGATGAACCATAACATATATGTTTCATTTAGCAATTCTCTTAATTCAAAGAAGAAAAATATATATGCACCCAGTTTTAGTATTTTGAGCATTTTCCATCTTTGCAAAACAGAGACAATATTAATGATTAATATTAGAAAATGACATAATGAAGGCATTGTAGAAATACTCAAATAATATGTAATGTTTATATTATAATTGATTGAGGCTACGTACGAACATGTAAATATGCTTATAATAAAATGTTAAGTTTAAAAAATATAAAATACATCTACTATAATCATAAGAATACAAATTATATATGTGTATAAACAAAGCCCGAAGGATACTATGCAGAAAATTAAGTTAGTTACTTTTGGTACGTGAATAGAAAATGATGTCCTTCTCTCTTAGGTATCTTTTATAATATTGCTAATACAAAATTGCTATAGTAAAAATTATGTGTATAAATAGATTGGTACCCTATTTGCGAGATTTTTCATGAAATTTTCAAACAGTCCTCAACTACAGTGAGTCTCTATGTGAAATTTTCCCAAGAAGCCAAAGAGGAAGTTGTCTTTAAATCTGAAATCCAGAGTTAAGTTGTGATCTGATCTTAACATATACAAGCATGTGTGTGTGTGTGTGTGTGCATGTGTGTATATACATATACACACACGTATATTATTATTTTGCCAAAGTTGAGGCTACCTGGGCTGCCTACTATTTCTCTTTTTTATCTTCTTCATGGCAATGAGGTTTAGAAGCATTTTAGTTTACATGGGTTTCAAATATTGCTTTATTGTCAGTCTCATATTTGTCATTCTTGCTATAATTACAGTGTGTGTTATATCAAGAGATGCTCTCTGTACCATCCCAGAGCCTCAATTACTGTATGCCTTGCCAGTAGTCTGGGCAAGTATAAGAGTAACATCTGATATAACAGGGATATATTTTCCTTGGACAGTTTTCAGATATTATTTGATATAAACATCAGAGTGAATTAAATCTGAAACCATAAATGCTTGAAAGAAAACAATTCACTTACAAAAATATGTTAATATGAGAAAATATTCTTTTACACTAGAGATGTGAAAACTCTTCTTCATAGGTTTGTAATATTTTAGGAAAAAATTATGAAATCTCAATCCTCTCTTCCATCTGTTATATTCAAATACATTGCATAAAATGTATTGAATCTCAAGAGGATACGGGCCCTTGATATTTCTGGAAGAGTACAATTGTAGTAAACATTGTTATTGTTCGACCTTTCTTTATTGTCCTAATTGATTTCAAATGTATTTGAGACATTACTTAGAGTAATGAAGAATTAAATGAGAAGAATGAAAAAAGTTATCGAAATTTTTTTTGCTAAACAATGTTAGGCTGAGTAATTGTTAAACTTAATTCTATTTTCAGTGACCAGGCCTAGAAGGAAACACGATGGATTACAGATCTCTAATTTTTGAAACAAATTCATGTGAGCAAACATTTTACTAGCCCTAATCTTATGAAAAAATTTATACGAACTTTTATGTCATCTGATCCTTGCTTGTCTTAGTAACTTGCTCAGGATGAAAACGTGATGTCATACTAGATATCGCTCTCTCTATCACATGACAAATTAAATCAGCAAATCCTAGGTCTACTTTCAAAGTATATCTACAATCTGACTATTCTAACTACTTACACACAGTTAACCCCCTGGTCCAAGACACCACTATGTTACTGGATCATTTACATAACCTTTTAAAGGGGCTCTCTGCCCTCACTCCCCTGTAATTTATTTTCATCACAGCTACTAGAGTGATCTGACTAAGCATAGAACAGATCGTCACATTCTTTTTCTCACAACCCTTCCATGTTGCTAGGAGTGAAGGCTTATAAAGCCCTAAATAATTAGGCTTCTGCAACTTTTCTTTCTGTCATCCCCTGTCTATTTGATGGTTCTGTTTAAATCTCACTGGGTTTTGCGCAGTTCCTCAAATATACCAGACATTTTCATATCACAGGAGTTTTGATCCGTCTGTTCCCCCACTTTTTAAAGATTATTTTTAAAGTAAATTTGATCAATAACATTGTATGTGTTATCTTGTACAACACGATGCTTTCAAGTATATATACATATGGACTAGCTAAATGGTGTTACCTTATATAGTTATCACTTTTGCAGTGAGAGTGCCTAACTTCCACTGTCTTTATGTTTTTCGAGAATATAATAAATTGTCATAGTTACCATGCCATATAATAGATCTCTTGAATTTATTACTCCTATATAACTGTATTTATGTTTACCTTGGCCAGCGTTTCCTCATCCCCTCCAACCCCACTAACCTCCCCAGCCTCTGTAATCACTATTGCACTCTCTATGCCTATAAGATCAAATTTTTAGATTTCACGTGTAAGTGAGAGCATGAGGTTATTTACTCTTCTGTGCCTGGCTTATTTCGCTTAATTTAATTTCCTCCAGATTCATTCATGTTGTCCCAATGACAGTATTTCATTCTTTTTTATGGCTGTAGAGTATTCTATTGTGTATATACACACATTTTCTTTATCTAATCATCCATTTATTGGCACTTAGATTGATTCCATATCTTAGCTATTGTGAATAGTGCTGCAATGAACATGGAAGTACAAATATCTCTTCAACATACTGATTTCATGTCCTTTGAATATATAAACAATAGTGGGATTGTGGAATCATATGCTAGCTCTATTTTTAATTTTTTGAGGAACCACCATACTGTTTTCCATTATGACTGTATTACTTTATGTTCCCACTGACAGTGTGTAAGAATTCCTTTTTCTCCTAATCCTCACCAACACTTATTTTTTGCCTTCAGTATAATAGCAATTCTAACAGGAGTCAGGTGATATCTCATTGAGGTTTTGATTTGCATTTTCCTGATGATTAGTGATATTGAACATTTTCTCATATACCTGTTGGCTTTCAAACAGCTGTCAAACAACCAATTACTGCCTAGTGCAAAAATTTTCTATCTATATATTTAAACAAATGATATATTTGATTACATACAATGCATAATTATATACATTTGTATATTTATATATTTATTTAATAATAATATGTAGATCTATATGTATCATAAATCAATATGTATCATAATATATAAATATATATTATCATAATATATAAATATGTGTTTGATTTATGGTAACCTTATTATTACATATAATTTATGTATGCACACTTTTATTTTCTATAGCCCAATTTATTTTTATTTGGTAGTGAAGTTCTAAATATAAAATGAATTATTTCTTCCATACCTGCATTTATTAATGCAATGTGAAGGACACTTTCATCATCAATGCCCTGGCACTGTTCTAAGTGATGGAAACATGGAAATGATCAAAACAAAACAAATTAAATTTTGCAGTCCAGTATGGAAGACAAAGGGGAGCTTTTCAAAACTGCAGTTCATTTCAGTTTTACTCATTGCTTATTTGAAATACACCAAACCTAACTTTTTAAAAAGAAGACATCCGATATATTTCGAAGAAAAATATTTAGTTTGCTCATTCTCATTCATTCAGAGTCAGATTTTAAGAATATAATGATTTATGCTTCATATACCTTGGCCACTTCTCTCGTGTTTATTGCATGGATATACACTGCATTTCTATTCCAAAGTCACTATGGCTTTGGAATAGAAAGCCATAGTGGCTTTCTATTCCACTTTCTATTCCGTTAATTGGCTCTTGTTTTCAACAACATACTGTAGAAAAAATTATAAATATAATGTTAAAATAGAATGCTACATTTTACCCCAAGGCTAAAGGTTCAGCAGGAAAAGCTCAAACTAGATAATACTTCAAAATTAACTTGAAGTAAACAGCTTTCCACAAATCATATACTACATACACAGTCTACCATTTTCTTTTCATTTAATTCACCTATGTGTAACAGTGCACTTTTTGGCAGTGGGAGCAGTAGAAAGAAATTAATAGAAGAATTGAATAAGGCAACATTTCATCTGTGACCATTATAAATACAATCCATCTGTTCTTTTTTGGGTTAAATATACCCTTACTTTAAATGCAGGCAGGCAGAAGAAAATAAATTGTATCTTCCTAGCAGCATTTTATTTCTGGGCTTTTCTGTCCTGTTTCAAAAGTGTCTCAGATAGGTGACTCCTGACTCCATTTTTTCTATAATAAAATGCTAAATCTAGTTTAGTGTAATATTATGAATCTGGAGATACAACCACATTTTCTCAAGAACCTATTAAATTCAGGCAACAGCAACTTATCATTAAATGCTTCAAAATAAAAATGTATTCAGCCTCAAAATGCATAAGCATCTTGTGTATATAGCAAGCCTTAAGTATAATAAATAGTGATAAGAGAGTAATATAAACCAAACAGTTTATAGTCAGGCAACCTTTAATAAATATCCCATTTCCCATCTCTCAAACCACAACTTTTGAATATCTGCAAGCAGAGTATTCCTTCAGTATTTCCAATTTAATTAATTCAGTTTACATAGGGGTATTTAGTTATATATATATCTTCCATACATTATATTTTTCTTAAATTGAATTTAGAAGTCCAATGTACCCTAAAACTTAAAGTATAATAATAAAAAAAAAAGAAAAAAAAAAGAAGTCCAATCAATATTATTAAATTCAAAATAGTGGAAAAGAGTGTCTTGGAACACATACAAATATTTAACTAATAAATAAATGTAGAAATATGTAATTAGATCCAAATTGTGACAAATTATGTTGTCTTATATATTGAATTCCCAATTTGAAATATTGAGCATTATTCATAAAAATCAATCACAATTTTCTCAGAAAACAGAACAATTGTAAATTTGTGAATATCGTAGATATTATATTTATTAGAAAACTTTCTTAAGTTTTTAATTTTTATCAATAAAATAATTAAAAAATATTTTAGAAATAGAAATTTTCATATATAGATTAGAAAATAGGAATAATTCATAAAGGGGCCTGATGTTATTTATTATATATTATATTACACTGTCATTGCATGAATACCTTTGTAAAACAAGCATTAACCTATTGTAATTTGTGTATAACCTTTCATGTTTGGAATTCCTTGTTCAGCAGGGAGGTCTCACTTTAAAAATTAATTTTATATTTTCTGAATAATGTATGCTGCTTGTAAAACCCAGACATCATGGACAAATTACAAACAAAGGAAAAGCCACCATGTGTTTTTCAAGTATTCACCTCTGATCTTATTCTTGATTTGAGATTGCAAAGTTTCCAGCTTCCTACCCCTTCAGCCCTGGCATCTGGGACATCTCTCTATCCACTCTCAGTGCATTTTCTCGGGTGATCTGTTTGGAGCATGCCAGTCTACTCAACAGTCTGATCTGTCTCAGTGGGAAAAGTTCTTCCTGGCTCCACCTGACTGAGGTGGGCCATCAGTCTCCCTCCTGGAGTCACTAAACTGGTGATTCTTGTGTGCACAAAGTATTATGTGACCCACAGGTATCAAAACTTGGAGAAAATATTTCTGAACTACCTAAGCTTTCAGGGCGTAACCCCTATTTTTAAACATTAGGTTATTTCTCAACAGATTTGAGAGTGTTGGAGTATGTTAAGTGCTTTGTCTGCAGGAACTGAAATGATTATGTAGCTTTTACCTTTTATTTTATAAATATTGTACATTACATTAATTTATTTTCAAATGCTAACTATACCTTGAATTCCTGGGATAAGTTCCACTTGGTTATTGTGTACAATTCTTATTATCTATTGCTTAATTTGATTTGTTAGCATTTTCTTGAGGATTTTTGCCTCTATACTCATACCAAATATTGGTTTTTAGCTTTCTTTTTTCGTGATGTGCCTGATTTTTATATCAGTGATACTGTTTTATGTGACTCTCATATGATGGCTTGGGAAGTATTCTCTTCTCTTTTTTTCTTGGAAGAGTCAGTGAATAATTACAGTTAATTTTTCCTTAAGTGTTTTTCTATTCTTAAGTGATTTGCTATTTCTTCTTGAGTTAGTTTCAGTAGTTTTGTCTTTCTAGAAATTTATTTATCTCATCTAAGTTATTTAAGTTGTTGACATACCATTGTTCCTAGAATTCTTTTATATGGTATTTTCCCCTTATCCACAGTTTCATTTTCCATGGTTTAAGTTACCTGTGCCCAACTGCGATTCAAAAATATTAAATCAAAAATTTCAGAAATAAGCAGTTTTCATGTTTTTAATTACATGCTGTTCTGAGTAGCATGATAAAATTGCCTGGTGTCACACTTCTTCCTATCCTGGAAATGAATCATCCCTTTGTCCAGAATATCCACACTTTACAAGCTACCTTCCCATTAATCACTTAGCAGCCATCTTGGTTATCAGATCAACTGTTGATTTTCACAGTTCTTGTGTTCAAGTGACATGTAGTTTACCTAATAATAACACCAAAGCATAAGAGTGTTGATGCTGGCAATTTGGATGTACCAAAGATAAGCTATAATGTGCTTTCTTTAAGTGAAAAGGTGAAGGTTCTCATATTATCAATGAAATGAAGACAATTATTTGCTGGGGTTGCTAATACCTATGGTAAAAACAATCTTCTATTCATAGTTAAAATTGTAAAATCTTCAGGTATGAAAAGGAAAAAGGTATTTGAGCTAGTTTTACTATTACACTTCAAACTGCAAAAATTACAGTCACAGCACATAGTGCTTAGTTAAGATGGAAAAGTCAATAAATTTGTGAGTGAAAGAACTAAACAGAAATGTGTTTTGCTTAATGGCAACATGTTGTATCAGAAAGCATTGAGGCTACAATAACTAATTATAAAATAGAACAATTATAATATGCCAGAAGCACTACTCGTTTCCTTTGGAGCCATTGTTAAGTAAAATAAGGGTTACATGAACACAAACAACTGTTGATACCATGACATTGTTTATCTGATAATGAAAACAGTTGCTAAGTGACTAATGGGTGGATAGTATATACCGCATGGATATGCTGGACAAAAAGAAGATTTATGTCCTGGGCAGGATGAATCAGAATGGCTAGAGATGAGATATCATCATTCTACTCAGAAGAGTGTGAAATTTAAACATAAAATGATTATTTCTGGAATTTTCAAGTAGCAATACTGAATCCCTTCTTTTTAACATGTATTTATTCAGTGTTTATTGATTCATTGATTCATTCATTCATTTATTTATACAATTTCCTAGTATTTTTCTGTGACATTATTTTGTGAATGACTGTTTGGTAGAATGGCAAAATGAATGAGATACAATTATTTTTTGGACATTGATTGTTATGATAAATATGATTAGTGTGACTATGTCCTAAAATGTAATATTGCTACCTGGCTAATATTTTATATGGGTTAAAATTTAATACCAAGAATATTTTAAATTTCAGAAAGACAGAAGTTTATACCATTTATCTCAAATGTTAACAGAATGATGTTCACATAAATTTATCAACACAAAAACAATCCAGACACATATAGGATGATTTGGAAATGTTTTCCCAGAAAAATCCGTGGTCAGAGTTTAAGGCTCTGAGGTTGGTTAAAAGCTACATAAGAATAGTTATTCTTAGGCAAGTTGATTAAGAATAATTAGATTCACTGCATTTACTATAGATAGGTCAGTTGTGGATGTGAGCGCAATACTTTTAGTGAAAAGAATACATGGTGAAGGTGCTCATTCGTATGCCTGCTAATATGGGAAGAAGGATTATGATTTAGGTGCATTTCTTTTTTTTACAAGGCTACGTCAGTTATGGGAAGAATCAAATGACTAAACTCTGGTCAGAGAGATAAGTATTTGCAAAGAACCAGATTACTGCTCTCCTCCTTTATTCTAAGAAATCTAGGACACAGCAAGAGTTTTCATGTCTCCAATGTCATTAACTACGTTCAACTCCGCTTACGTCTCTGATGGTTAAACTATGTTCTGAATGCTCCCAATCATGGCTCTTAGTGTCTGTGGTATCAGGAGGCTGTCCTTCTATGTCTAAACTCTCTTTAATTAAAATTTTGGTTGCATGTTTCTTAAGCTTTTAGTGTCCTTAGGGTTCTTTGAAAATTAGCCTTTCTTTTTAGCTTCATAAAACATTTTTAAAGGTCTAATTTTCCAGAGGTTGAACATAAACTTGCAATGTTGTTCTTCTATTTATTACACACTGCTTAAGCAGACTGACACAGTGCTTTAAAATTATGATGAGATTTTTATTTCTCTCTTACATGAACAATTGAACATTTGTTAGACATAGTGATGCTCCTTAGTATTACCCATTCACTTTTTTGGGAGGCACAAGAAAGGATTGCACTTCAGCATTTCTTTGAAGTTAAGTATAACCATGTGACATGCTTCTGCCAATAAAATATAAGCAGCAGTATAATATGTGCTTATACTATGTAAGCTGTATAACATGTGTCACTTGTAGCTATAATGGGTATTAAGGCTGTTACACATGGAGGAGTCTGAGTCCTAGTTCAGAGATGGTTGCATGAAATAAGAACTAGACCGCTGTTATTTATTAAGTCTCTGATATTTTGGAATTTTTTTGACTGCAGAAAGTCTAGTGTAATCTGATTATAGACATGGACCCTCAAATTTTCCTTACTTCTTTATTGATTTAAATTTATAAAGACCAAGAGTATCCACAATATATGATATTGACTATAAAGTAATAAAACAGTAATGATGTAAGGTTTTCTTGTCACAAGAATATTTAATGATATACCCAGGAAGTTTCATAGTGCTATGGGACAATTAATTTTCATCATAGGCTCCAACAATTTTTTAAAATATTCTGCGTATTGCATCAGAAGCAGACTTCAAAATGCTGGCTGCAGCAGAGACAACACAGCTGCCAGAATGAAAGTCACAGGCTGCATATACTAGAGACACTGTGGACACATCATGCACATATTAAGCATTTTGAGAGAAATCAAAACCTCCCTGAAGATGATAAAAAAAGGTACTTGGTGACTTGACAAAGAATAAGACCTCAATAATAAGGACCCTGCAGCAAATAAATTGCCTTTCTAGTAATGCTAACACAGGATAAGACAAATGCAGTTTATAAACTAGAAATCGCTCAAATTAAAAGAAGAATCAAATTACACCAGAATTTCCTCTTCATGTGGTTTGTTAAAGGTTTCACAAATTATTTAATATTGAAGCTGATTTAAGATGAGATCAGTACTTGTATTCGCCTATTCTTACACTGCTATAAAGACATAGCTGAGACTAAGTAATTTATGGAGAAAAGAGGTTTCACTGGCTCACAGTTCCACAGGCTGTACAGAAAAGTATGGCTGGGAGGCCTCAGGAAACTTACAATCGTGGCAGAAGGTAAAAGGGAAGCAAGCACATCTTCACATGTCAGAGCAGGAGAGAGAGAGAGAGAAGAGGGGAGTGCTACACACTTTCAAACAACATCTCCTGAGAACTCCATCACAAGAACAGCATGGGAGATGTTCACCCCTATTATTAAATTACCTCCCACCAGGCTTCTTCAACACAAGGGGTTTGCAATTCGAGATGAGATTTTGATGGGAGCATAGAGCCACATCATATTATTCTGTACCTGGCTCCTTTCAAATTTCATGTCATTCTCACATTTCAAAAAACAATCTTGCCTTACCAAAAGTCCCACAAAGTCTTAACTCATTTCAGGATTTACTCAAATATCTAAGTCCAAAGTCTTTTCTGAGACAAGGCAAATCCCTTTTACCTATTAGCCTCTAATATAAAAACAAGTTAGTTACTTCCAAGATATAATAGGGGTAAAGGGATTGGGTAAATACTGCCATTCCAAAAGGGAGAAATTAGCCAAAACAAAGAAGCTACAGGCCCCATGAAAATCTGAAAAATTCAGCAGTGCATTCATTAAATCTTGAAGCTCCAAAATAATCTCCTTTGACTCCATGTCTCACATCCAGGGCACAATGATAGAAGGGGTGGGCTCCCAAGGCCTTGGGCAGCTCTTCCCCTCTGGATTTACAGAGTACAGGCCCTGTGGCCATGTTCTTAGGCTGGTGTTGAGTGTCTGCTGCTTTTCCAGGAGCATGGTGCAAGCTGTCAGCAGATCTTCCATTCTGGGGTCTGGAGGAAGGTGGCCTTCTTCTCACTGCTCCACGAAGCAGTGTCCCAGTGGGGACCCTGTGCAGGCACTCCAACCCCACATTTGCCCTCCACAATGCTCTAGTAGAGGTTCTCCATGAGTGCTCTGCCCCTGCAGCAGACTTCTGCCTGGACCTTCAGGCATTTCTATACATCATCTGAAATCTAGGTGAAGGTTCCCAAACCTCAACTCTTGCCTGCTGCGCACCCGCAGGCCTAACACCATGTGGAAACCACCAAGGCTTGGGGCTTGCACCCTCTGAAGCAATGGCCCAAGCTGTACCTTGACCCCTTTTAGCCAGGACTGGAACTGGAGTGGCTGGGATGCAGGGTTCCATGTCCCGAGGCTGCACCGAGCAGTGGGACCCTAGGCCTGGCTCACGAAACCATTTTTTCCTCCTAGGCCTCCAGGCCTGTGATGGGAGAAGCTGCTGTGAAGGTCTCTGAAATGCCCTGGAGGCATTTTCCCTGTTGTCTTGGCTATTAACATTCAGCACCTCATTACTTATGCAAATTTCTGCAGCCTGCTTGAATTTTTCCCTAGAAAAGAATTTTTTTTTCTACCATATGGTCAAGCTGTAAATTTTCCAAACTGCTATGCATTGCTTTCCTTTTAAATATAACTTCCAGTTTCAGATAATCTCTAAGTTTATGCAAATGATCATAGGCTCTTAGAAGCAGCCAGGCCACTTCAAGAATGCTTTGCTGCTCAGAAATTTCTTCTGCCAGATACCCTAAATCAACTTTCTCAAGTTCAAAGTTCTATAGATCTCCAGAGAAGGGACAAAATACTTCTATTCTCTTTGCTAAAGTGTAGCAAAAGTGACCTTTACTCCAGTTCCCAATAAGTTTCTCATCTCCATCTGGGACCACCTCAGCCTGGACTTCATTGTCCATATTACTATCAGCATTTTGGACACAACAATTTAACGAATCTGTAGGAAATTCCAAACTTTCCATCATCTTCCTATCTTTTTCTGAGCCCTCCAAACTGTTCCAACCTTTGCCTGTTACCCAGTTCCAAAGTTGCTTCCACATTTTCGGGTATCTTCATAGCAGTGTCCCACTCCCGGTACCAATTTTCTATATTAGTCCATTCTCACACTACTATAAAGAATGACCAAGACTGGGTAATTTATGAAGAAATAAGGTTTAACTGACTCACAGTTCTGCAGGAAGCATGGTTGGGTGGCCTCAGGAAACATACAATCATGGGAGAAGGAAAGGGGGAAACAAGCATGTCTTACCATGGTGGAGAAGGAGAAAGAGAGACAGAGTGTGAAGGGGGAAGTACCACACACTTTTAAACAAGCTGATCTCCTGAGAATTTTATCACCAGAACAGCAAGGGGGAAGTCCACCCCCCCATGATTCAGTCACCTCTCAACAGGCCTCTCTTTCAATACATGGAGATTACAATTCAACATGAGATTTGGGTGGGGACACAGAACCAAATTACATCAGTACTAAACATGTATATCTAGAGAATGTAAGCATTTTTTTTTAGAAATTATGACCGTTGTGTGAACACTTAAATTTTAAGTGTACAATACAGTAATACAATAATACTAACATAGAAAATGTACAGTAGATCTCTAGAACGTATCCATTTTGCATAACTGAAACTTTTCACCCATTGAACAATACAATGGACTAAATGCTTTTTATTAGTTCATTTTCACACTGCTATAAAGAACTACCTAAGACTGGGTAATTTATAAAGAAAAGAGGTTTAAATGACTCACAGTTTCACATGGCTGAGGAGGCCTCAGAAAACTTAAGATCATGGCAGAAGGTGAAGGGGATGTGAGGCACATCTTACATGAAGAGAGAGCAAAGGAGGAAGTGTCACATTCTTAAACCATCAGATCTGGTGAGAACTCACTTTCATGAGAACAGCAGGGGGGACATCCACCCCCATGATCCAATCACCTCCTATAAGTTCCCTCACCTGACATCTGAGGATTACAATTCAACATGAGATTTGGTTGGGGACACAGAGCCAAACTATATCATGCTTGTTTTCTCCTCACATTCACATGTTGAAATCCTAACTCCAAGATAATAATGTTAAGTAGTAGAGCCTCTGGGAGGTGATTAGATATTTAAGGCAGAGCCTTCATAAATGGGATTAGTGCCATCATAAATTTAGCCTGAGAGAGACCCCTCATCTTTTCCACCAAATGAGGACACAGCAAGAAGGCACCATTTATGACCCCAAAAACAGGCCCTTAGCAGACACTGGATCTCCTGGTGCCTTGGACTTACAATGTCCAGCCCTCAGAACTCTGAGATAAATTTCTGTTGTTTCTAATTCACCCAGTTAATGATATTATAGCAGCCCAAACAAATTAAGACAAATAGCAGCTTCCCATTTTCCCATCCTACAAGCTACTGGCAACTACCATTCTACTCTCTGTTTCTGTGTTTGGTTAGTTTATATACCTCAGGTAAGCATTATCAAGCAGTGTTTGTCCTTTCATGATTGGCTTATTTCACTGAGAATTATCTCCTTCACATTCGTATATGTTGTCAAAAATGGCAGAATTTTCTTCTTGTTTATGGCTGAATAATATCCCGTTGTGTGTGCGTGTGTGTGCCACATTTTTTTTTATCCATTCATCTGTAATATATTTAGGTTGTTCTTTTCCTGTAGTGTTTTTGTCTGGCTTTGGTATCAGGGTAATATTCAACTCATTAAATAAATTTGCATGTCTTTCATCATCTTCAGTTGTTTAAAAAATATAGATTAGGATTGGTTGTTGGCATTAATTATTCTTTAAGTATTTGGTAGAATTTCTTGTGGGTTACTCAATTTGTTGGCATGTTGTTCATTATAGTATGTTACAATCACTTTTTATAGTCTGTGGCATCAGTTGTAATGTCTTTTATTTCTGATTTTATTATAGTTATTCTATTTATGTTTTCTTAGTTATTTTAACTAATGGCTTGTTAATTTTGTTAATCTTTTCAGAAAGCTAACTCTTAGTTTCATTTATGTTTTCTTATTGCTTTTCTATTCTCTGTTTCATTTATTCCTGCTCCAATTTTTATCATTTATTTTCTTCTACTAACTTTGGGGTTTAGTTGTTTACTTTTGTTTTGCTCGTTCTTTGAGGTTTAAAGTTAGGGATTTGAGATCTTCTTTTTAAATGAAGGTGTCATTACAACAGACTTCTCTCTTAGTATTGCTTTTACTGCATTCCATACATTTTGGTATGTTGTATTTTAATTTTCCTTCATCTAAAGGTATTTTTTACTTTTTCTCCTAATTTTTTTTCTTTAACCCATTGGTTGTTCAAGAGAGTGTTGTTTAATTTACACATACTTCTGAATTTTCTACTCTTTCTTCTTTTATTGATTTCCAGTTTTATTCCATTGTGGTTGAAAAAGATACTATGATTTCATTCTTTTTAAATGTGTTGTCTTTTTTGGGAATTAACATATTATTTATCATGGAGAGTGTTCTGTAAACACTTGAGCAGAATGTGTACTCTGCTGTTTCGGGGTAGAATATTCTGTATATGTCTGTTAGATCCTTCACATTTTAATTAAAAAGTATCATTATATAATTGTCATTAAATATTTTGTTCTCATTAATTTTCAATATGTTACATTGACAACTTAAAATATTTCAAAGTTAAAGAACACAAATGTAATTTAAAAATTGATACTGAAGAAAGACCTGATGTGATTATTACTATCTAGGATAGGAAAAGCCACAAATCTGCCTCTCACTATCTTTAACCTTAATAAGACATATTCCTGTTATATGTGTACACAACATATGTTATGTTCTTATTTGACACCGAGTGAATTTATCAGGTCCTGGCTTTCTCATTGGGGTTTCTATGGAAATGCTGCTCATAGGTTCATCACTGAGGTAAAACACACAGTTTCAAGATGTAGTGCCAGAATAGACTGGCTGAATTATTATCAGGAAGTGCCCAACTTAGATCTAAAAATAAATTATGTATATATGTAAACATAAAAAATTATGTATGTTTAACCTAAGTGATGAACACAGTAGATATAATCAGTGTGAGTTGAAAGGAACAAAATACAGTGAAAGTTATGAATTTATCATGTATTTTAAGACACAGACCAAAAATCTATTGTGAGGATGCTCCTTTCATAAAATAACAATAACAGTGATAACAGCTAGCATTTACTATGAGCTTACTATGTGCCAGGCCCTGTTCTGAGTGCTATCTGACTATCTAAATCATTTCTCACAACAGTATTATGAAGTAGATATTGAGATTTTAACCATTTCAGATGTGAGGAAACTGAGTTATAGAGAGATACATTGCTTGTCCAAGTTTTCATAATTAGGAATAGACAGAGTTTGAATGTGAGACTTGCTCTAGAGTCTGTGGTCTTTTCAAATACCTAGGTTGTCTGAGTAGGTCAGTAATGCTTAGGGATCTTAACCAAATTAGACAAAAGTTTCTGTGTGCAATGGTTGAACAAAACTGCCAAAAGATGTTTAATGTCACTAAATCACAAAACCCGTTTAGTGCCTAATAGTTCTGTCCCATTCCAACCCAGCCCTTTTTCTTATTTACAGAAACATATGTTTGCCATATTTACAGTTTCATAAAATCCAGTAAAGGAAAAAATCTGAGAATATAAGTAACCATGGCAAGACCTATATTTAGTAACTGTATAATTTTTGATTTCAGATATTACTACCACATTATGTTGCCCATAGGAATTTAAATGATTTATAATGTTAATTGTGTATATTACTACTAAACATAGTTACTACATAGCCTCTGCTTTTCTTTGCTTGTCTATGGATTTTTAAAGACAAGAAACTGTTGAAAACAAAAAAAAATTCAAGAAAACATCTTCATTTTTAATCCATATTATATTAATTATTGAACTATTGCCTCTCTAAATGACAGACTGGTTGGATTAATTAAACAATTATTTTGGAGTCATATAAAAGACACAGACTTAAGATATGCAATGTTTAGAAAATCATTTGACTTTTTTTTTAGGCAGAGTTTTCACTGTATTCAATTTACACATACAAAAGTGAAACTGGATACTTACAGCTCAACTGTTTTAAAATACAGCAATTCTCAAACACACAGAATTATTGTCTTTAATCTTTATAGAGTATAGCCCCTTTTAAACATTGAAAAAAGTAAAGAGGGGCCGGGCGTGGTGACTCACACCTGTAATCCCAGGACTTTGGGAGGCCGAGGTGGCTGGGTCACTTGAGGTCAGGAGTTCAAGAGCAGCCTGGCCAACATGGTGAAAACCTGTCTCTACCAAAAATACAAAAATTAGCTGGGCATATTGGCACATGCCTGTAATTCCAGCTACTCCAGAGGCTGAGGCATGAGAATTGCTTGAACCCAGGAGGCAGAGTTTGCAGTGAGCCAAGATTATGCCACTGCACTCCAGCCTGGGGGACAGAGCAAGACTCTGTCTCAAAAAAAAAAAAAAAAAAGTAAATAGTAATTTTGCAGTATATTCCCATGAAAATTGTATGGGCATTTCTTACCAATAAGTTATGTTAAAGTGAACTTTATTATAAATAAAACTACTAATTGCTTAAATATAATTCATCTTGTACCTATTTTCTGAAGTGAGCAATGTTTGAGTGAAGCAACAATTAATAAACAGAGAATGCAAATGACTCATTGAATTATTAGACATGTTATATATATGGATTGGATATTTCTAACAGCATACCTGGGATTTTTTAATATGTATGAAGCTCAGAGGAATCCTTGTAATTCATTAGATTTTTTTTAACTTATAAATCTAAGAATGGTATATTATTACTAAATTTTCAACACAAATGCCATATTACGTAGTCCATTTGAAATCACACACTATTTAGTATTATCAGTCTTAATCAAAGACTTATTTTGTAAAAGGTGGGGAAATAATTTCAAACTGCCTCATTGATCTGACTTTAGTGATTTCTTGGCACCAGATGCTAAGTATTTCTTTTTGTATTTTTCCAGGCTGTTCATGTTTTTCAACTACCAAGGTATGTTAAATATGTTTATACTGTACAGTGATGATTTTGTGTTCTAAAAGTGTGTCAGCGTACTTTCAATGTTATTGATGAACTCTTCTCCTATGGACCCTTCTCCATAGGGTTGATGAAAACAAGATGACAAGATTTAGAGTCTGCTAAATTGCAAAGCTTGGTAGGATTTTCTCAATCTTATTCTTGGAAGGTAGTTACTTAAATAAGCATATTGAATCATCTAATTCAAGAAACTAATGCAAATTGCCTTTCCTTACAATTTTAAAGGTGTAATTCTATAATTAACTCTCAAAAGATCATTTAACGAACAGCCTTCTTCAAACAATTTACTCATATCCCCCAACACAATTATAATTTAAACTGTGTATCTTTAAAAGGTGTAAATAAATCATTCTATGCAAATACTTTATTTCTATTTTATGCAATGTGTTCCATAGAACATTTAATTAAAGTAAAAAGTCTTATCTATGTATAAATTAGTAGTAAATTAAAGCATATTTGAAAGGCCCACATTTGCTAGTAGATTTAAGAAAATTTTATATTTCATTTTATCTGCCAAGAATAATAGTCTTCAACTCTCAAACTAATTTGAACATATGTTAAAAACTTAATTTAATAGCTCTAAGGGTCTATTTCATATGCTCTTTTCAAATACTGTAATATATGAGAAGTAAGCATTTTGGTGTTAAAGACTTTCTAATTGAATGCTGAGATTGGATTGGAAATTGGGTTTGTGTTAGCTATGATTCTCCTTCTACCCTATCATTCCTGAAATATTTTCTGCTTTCACACATACCCTTTACTTCTTAAGCTTCCAATTCTCTTTTTCTGGCTGCTCTAGAATGTATACTTTTCAAATAATCTTGTTTATTCCTTTCTTTTGTACTGTCACCTTTCTTTTAAACTAGAAATATGTCCAGGTATGGCTTATGCCAAAATCTCTTTTCAAGTTTCTTCCTGTCTTTCCCACCTCTCCAATCTAACATTTTGAAAGTTCAGTCTATAAAGACTGTCTGTAATTTCCTCACCTCTAATTTAGTAATTTATTTCATTGCCTCAACTATCACAAATTAATGGGAAAAATCTAAATTTCATATTCAATTATCTAACTGGAAAACCAAAATTTCTTTATTTTATATTTTACCTAACCCATTCTGAGTCATCTGAGCTCCTTAATCATTCCTTCTTTTTTTATTATTATACTTGAAGTTTTAGGGTACATGTGCACAATGTTCAGGTTTGTTACATATGTATACATGTGCCATGTGGGTGTGCTGCACCCATTAACTCATCATTTAACATTAGGTATATCTCCTAATGCTATCCCTCTCCCCTCCCCCCACCCCACAACAGGCCCCGGTGTGTGATGTTCCCCTTCCTGTGTCCATGAGTTCTCATTGTTCAATTCCCACCTATGAGTGAGAACATGCGGTGTTTGGTTTTTTGTCCTTGTGATAGTCTGCTGAGAATGATGGTTTCCAGCTTCATCCATGTCCCTACAAAGGACATGAGCTCATCATTTTTATGGCTGCATAGTATTCCATGGTGTATATGTGCCACATTTTCTTAATCCAGTCTATCATTGTTGGATATTTGGGTTGATTCCAAGTCTTTGCTATTGTGAATAGTGCCACAATAAACATACGTGTGCATGTGTCTTTATAGCAGCACGTTTTATAATCCTTTGGGTATACACCCAGTAATGGGATGGCTGGGTCAAATGGTATTTCTAGTTCTAGATTCCTGAGGAATCTCCACACTGACTTCCACAATGGTTGAACTAGTTTACAGTCCCACTAACAGTGTAAAAGTGTTCCTATTTCTCCACATCCTCTCCAGCACCTGTTATTTCCTGACTTTTTAATGATTGCCATTCTAACTGGTGTGAGATGGTATCTCACTGTGGTTTTGATTTGCATTTCTCTGATGGCCAGTGATGATGAGCATTTTTTCATGTGTCTTTTGGCTGCATAAATGTCTTCTTTTGAGAAGTGTCTGTTCATATCCTTCGCCCACTTTTTGATCACGTTGTTTGTTTTTTTCTTGTAAATTTGTTTGAGTTCATTGTAGATTCTGGATATTAGCCCTTTGTCAGATGAGTAGATTGCAAAAATTTTCTCCCATTCTGTAGGTTGCCTGTTCACTCTGATGGTAGTTTCTTTTGCTGTGCAGAAGCTCTTTAGTTTAATTAGATCCCATTTGTCAATGTTGGCTTTTGTTGCCATTGCTTTTGGCGTTTTAGACATGAAGTCCTTGCCCATGCCTATGTCCCGAATGGTATTGCCTAGAATCCCCTTAAGCTGATAGGCAACTTCAGGAAAGTCTCAGGATACAAAATCAATGTGCAAAAATCACAAGCATTCTTATACACCAATAACAGACAAACAGAGAGCCAAATCATGAATGAATTCCCATTCACAATTGCTTCAAAGAGAATAAAATACCTAGGAATCCAACTTACGAGGGACGTGAAGGACCTCTTCAAGGAGAACTACAAACCACTGCTCAATGAAATAAAAGAGGATACAAATAAATGGAAGAACATTCCATGCTCATGGGTAGGAAGAATCAATATTGTGAAAATGGCCATACTGCCCAAGGTAATTTATAGATTCAATGCCATCCCCATCAATCATTCCTTCTTGAAACTTTACACCTTTGGCTTCAAATTCTCAGTTCCCTTATCTTTCCTAAAATACTGTGTCTTTGCTTGATTGCTTCTTTTTCCTCAACCACACCCTAAATTGGGAGATAATGAGGAGTGTCCTCAGCTCCTTTGTGTTTCCTTATCCATGTTTTTGCTCTCCATGACCACCTATTCCATAGCTATGGCCTCAACGCCTTCTCCATAGGGTTGATGTAAACAAGATGACAAAACAGAGATAAATCATCTACATGTGTGGCATACTTGGCCCTCAAATATTTCCTGAGTTAATAAATGTTTGTTTTGAATAAACTAAAAATATGCATTGCCAGTATACATTTCCTTCCTGGTTGTCAGGCCTATATTTTAAGCTGGCTCTTTGATATTTTTCACTTGTCTGTCCCTAAAACATTTTGTTTTGGAAGTAAGTTCAAAGCTTAACTAATTACCACATGCCCATCCCATGTGCATCCTCAAGCCACTGCCCTTTCAGTATCTGATAAGTTTATACTCATGGAAACATTGGTCAAATTAAAAACATCTTGTTCAGGCCAGAAACCTGAAGTCATATACTTGCTTTCTTGTCTCTTGCCCCATAATCAATGAGTTATCAGGTAACATAAAACCTCAATTAAAAAAATTAAATCTATTCTCCTTGCCCTCAATTTTCCTACTGCATTTCTATCATATAACTTCTCCTTTGGCTATGGCAAATGTCTGTCCTTGGCTCCCTGCCTTTAGCTCTTCTAACTCACTCATTCTTGGTATGTACTCCCCCACCCCACATGCACACAATGCTTCATGACTACTTGCTGAAAAACCTGTGGCAGCTCCCCATTGTGTTCCAAGTAAAAAAGGCTTTTAGTGATTTGGCACCAAATTGCTTATCATGCCTCTCACCTGCCATTCCCACAAAGGCACCTTATTCTCCATTCATAATATATTCCTGATGTTTTGTGATTTACGTATTGCTATATTATGAGTTTAGTGTCGTCTTCACAAATGCTTTCTTCCCTCATCTGATTGAAAATATTTTTTATTCTCTCTGAAATCTTTTGTTTTGCTCAAACCACTGCCTAAGAGTCTTCAGCTTAAGATAAGCAATGAAGGCTCATCAAATAACTGCAAAAACAGAGATGAACTAAACAGAATGAGTTCAAAACTCAATTGAATATGTGTGCAGGATATTTCTAGACTTTCATGTTGCTTTATCTATTCACCAATACCAATACCACACTATCTTCCTAAATTATAGTGTGCACTTCATCTTGAATCAAGTAGTATAATTACCCCAACTGTAGTTTCTCAAAATTGTTTTGGCTATTCTAGTTCCCATGCCTTGTTTACGTAAATTTGAGAACCAGCTTGTCAATTTCTACAAAAAAATCCTTTCAGGATTTTTACTGTGATTGTTTTGTACCTTTGGATCACTTTGGGGAGGATTTACATCTTAACAACACTAAGTCTGCCCATTCCTGAATGTGACATTAAAGCTCCATTTATTTAGGTCTTCATTTACTTCTATAGTGTTTTGTTACTTTTCAGTATAAAAATGTTACACATATTTTGTCATATGTATACATAAATATTTGTCCTTATATTCTAATACTGTCATGTAATTAACAGGCTACTTTATAACATTAAGTTGAGTTCGTAGAACACATAGCATTTCTGGATTTCTCATTTTAATATGAAAAATATTTAATATTACTTAAAATTATTAATCATAATTTTAAATTATGATTCAAATTGCAAAATGATACTTAAGCTTTTTTATCTGTATTTCTACAATTTAGGATGCTTTATATTGCAAATGACAGAATATGTAGCCTAAACTAGCATAAGCAATACTGGGAATTTAGTAACATATGTTACTTCTGGGTCTGGGAATATGCTTAATTTTATATGAAGCTGGAGACATTGTTCAATAAACCATTATGGACCAGATTTCTGTTTTTTTCTGTTTTCTTTTCTTTCCTTTCTTCCTTCCCTTCTTGCCTTTCTATAAAATTTCACTTTTAATTGCTATTTAAACTATTTATAGTGAATTACACAAAGCTTCAATATATAACTAAAATAATTATTACATATATATACACCCATGTAACAACCTAAATCAAGACTTAGAGCATTTCTGGCATCCTCAGAAGTTTTCTTTATATTTCATCCCTCAAGAATAATATTATAATCTTTACCATGACAGATATTCCTCTTCTTGACCTTTATATAAATTAAATCACAGAGTATGCATTCTTCAGCATCTACCTTTTTGGTTTTACTGCATTTCAAAAATTCACCTTAGAAATGACCTCTCAATCTAAAGTTAAATGACTTATTTCTGGTTCTTACTTTCTTTGACTTTTATAGAATGGGTCATTGTTAATCATACTTCCTTCATTTCCTCATGCCACCAATTTTATACTCTTTTTATGATGCACTGTTTCTTCTTTGTCTCCTTAGTTGCCTTGTTTTTCTCCCTCTATCCCCTAGAATAAAATACTTTAAAAACATAATCTCAACCACATTCTACCTAACATCAACCCTAACCTACTTTAACTCTTTAAATGTAGATATTCCCAAGTCGTTCCATTCTCCCCTTCCATACTCAGTCCCAAGTAACATTCAATTTAACATCAGTAAATCAATGCAAATAATTTTGTCTTCTAATATGTTTAGCTTTAATTGCTCACTCATTGCTGTGACACTAACTTTCACATTGCCTGCTCTACCTCATCATTGGTATATTCTGACTACTTCCCAAAGGATAAACACTAGACTTATTACCTTCTCTTTTAAACCATCTTTTGATTATTTTTTGGCTTTGCAGATAATGGCACAATTCTTTGTCTAGTATTAAAGGATTAGATATTAATACTTAAGACTTTATGTTTTTTGATTCCCACACATTTAGTCAGTTGTAAAGACTCATAAACTTTTTAATGTGTTTCACCCAATTGCTTATGTTTTCATTCCTATAGCCATTGGCTTAATTTGTGACATATGCCTGAACCACTTGTAGCAGCCTTCTAACCGATTTCATTGCTGTTTATTCAATTCTAATTCATACACAGGCATATACTAATTTTTATACACCATAGTGACTACCCTATCACTCAGAACTTTTCAAAGCGTTAACTTAAAACGGAATTATAAACAACAACCCAAGCTGAATTCAAGACTCCTTATTACTGAATTCTTCTACTTTGTCAATCTACTTCATATGACTCATTCGATTATTTGCATTCTTGTAGGCCTATTATCTTGCATCACAAGGAAACAAACTTCAAAGAAGAATATTGTCTATTTTGTTCATTATTATATTCCCAGTCCCTAAATGAATGCCTAATACATAGAAAGCACGCATTAAATCTTGGTAAAATAATGAATGACATGTTCTGTAGTCAAATGGTACTATTTATTCCTCCAAACATCATAAATGCTTTTCATTTTTATATCATTGCTCAAGCTATGCCCATAGTGCAATGATTTTTCTCTCAATCTACCTTCACATCATGAAGACACATTATTAAAGATAGATCTCATTGGCAGACATTACTTAAAGCACTTCTTAATCACCTCAACTCAATGTTAGTTCTCACTCCTTTAAATTTTCATAGCACTTTGCATCATTTTTATAGAACCAGTAATATTAGGCCCTTAGTACTCACTTAAAAAATTACTTATCTTATTTTCTGTAATAGACACTATCTTTTTTTTGAGGTCAGAAGCTGTGTTTTTGCTATCTTTGGAAAGAACATTTATTAGAATAACATGTTAATGGTAAACATTTAATGCATATTTGTTGAATTGGATTGAGTACCATTCTCTGTTCAGTATAAATTTGGCAGAATAATGTCGTGTTTATCATGCATGAAAATGTCAAAGGATATTGTGCTTATTTTTTCTTCCAACAGATTAATTTGTTTGTGTCTGCTAATAAACAATATAGCTACTATCCCTGGGAACTAAGGAAATACTAATTTTATGAACAGTTACCAGTGTAAACAATCTCTGTGGCTTCATGTTTAACATTACATTTATTATTTTAATATAGAACTCATTAGGGAAGAATTGTCCTATTTCAGTAAAAAAAATTAATTTATGCCTGGAAATATAAATGAAGTGGAGTTCATACTGCTACCTAGTCTGAATTTTAGTTTACATACTTAGAATGTTAATTTATACAAATGTATTCCAAATTAATGTGTCACATATCCAGCAGGTTTTGAGGAAGTTATGAGAATGTGTTCTTTGTTCAATTTATAAAGTGAATATGTATATGCGTAAATATACAACCAGAACAAACAAAAAGTTGATCATATGACTCCATAAAATGGGAGCAGCATTCACAGGTTCTGGAAAACTGCTGCAAACCTCCAGTCTTGGCCGGGCGCGGTGGCTCACATCTGTAATCCCAGCACTTTGGGATGCCGAGGCGGGTGGATCACGAGGTCAGGACTTCAAAAGCAGCCTGGCCAACATGGTGAAACCCCATCTCTACCAAAAATACAAAAAATTAGCCGGGCATAGTGGCGGGTGCCTGTAATCCCAGCTACACCTCAGGAGGCTGAGGCAGAATAATTGCTTGAACCCGGGAGGTGGAGGTTGCAGAGAGCCGAGATTGCGCCACTGCACTCCAGCCCGGGTGTCAGAGCAAGACTCTGTCTCAGAAAAAAAAAAAAAAAAAAAGAAAGAAAGAAAAAAGAAAAGAAAACCTACAGTCTTTGAGGATACATGTAGATAAGACAAAGTTTAAGCTGGTTCAGAAACTGTGCAGTGTAGGTCAATTGGAGAAACAAAAGCTTTAAAATCAAACAGGTCTGTGTTCATACCCATGGCCTTGGGATAACTAGTACCTACCTCACAAGGTGAGTCAATAATTCATGAGTAAAGCGCTTACCTAAAGTTAAGCATATAATTAATGTTAATTTCTTCAGTTTGAGGTGCAAGCAAGGCCCTTGTAAGGAATAAATGAGATAATGCAATAGTTATTAATATTTAAAGTGTAAAGGCTTCATATCAAAAGCAATAGTTGATCCTCGTTCCTTATACTATTTTAGTGCTTGATTTAAAAATTTGATGGAAAGCTACTATGACTTTTTAAAAATTTATTTTAACTATAATAGTACTTATATGAATTCAAAACACAATAGCTATTGTTAATAAGGAGTTATTTTTCCATCCAGTGACTATTTGCCCTAATAACAAGACATTTCTAACATATCAAGTTGTTCAATAAGGCCAAGTATTCTTTGTAACCTACAACATTTACTAAAGTCTTTCCTATAAGTTCTCCCACTCATGAGTTAAAACCTTCTCTTTTCAGAGAGATCTAGAAGATATAATAATTTATTATTATTATTATTATTATTTTTTTTGAGACAGAGTCTCGCTCTGCCACCCAGGCTGGAGTGCAGTGGCACCATCTTGGCTCACTGCAAACTCCGCCTCCCAGGTTCACGCCATTCTCCTGCCTCAGCCTCCTGAGTAGCTGGTACTACAGGCACCGTCCACCACGCCCGGCTAATTTTTTGTATTATTTAGTAGAGACGGGTTTTCACCGTGTTAGGCAGGATGGTCTTGATCTCCTGACCTGGTGATCCACCCGCCTCGGCCTCCCAAAGTGCTGGGATTACAGGCGTGAGCCACCGCGCCTGGCCTATTATAAGTCTTAGGTGGCCAATAGTAAGAGCTCGAGCATGGATGGCTATTATTGGCAATGTTGGTGATATTACTCTTTTTAATGAACACCAAAAAAATTCACTTCACACCTACAAGAAAATTAAAACAACAACGTAATTTCTCATTAAAAGGAAATATTTACATTTCACAAGCAATGGGATGCCACTGTAGTATCTCAAATACATTAAATGCCACTGATAATTTAAGAGTTTGGTTTTTTTATTTCCACATGTCCTTCTTTAAGTCAGCTACAGATGAATTTGGCTAGATGCCCATAAGTGAGGGAAAAGAAAATCACAGTTTAAAATGTTTTCTTTATAATGACATTTTGTTCCTTGATTAATCTTTTCTGTTACACGGCTAAATAACACCATATGTTAGCCATGAGTTTACTGCTATAAGCTACAAGAGAGATCTACCTCAAGATAAATGATTTGGATATTTTCTAGCTGAAAGTGGAAGAGACAGAAAAAAATGCTGTTGGAATCTTGTTTCCAAAATCATTTAGTTAGTTTGATTATATGAAATACATCATAAAAATGAGTATGTCTTCAGAGATCAGAGGAACACTTTATAAGTTAGACCTTCTGAGTTAAGCCCACATGGGAAAACACAACTTTTCTTTAAATCTATATGGATTATGTTTTGGCAAAGCAATTCATTCCTTCCCACATTAGCTACTTGAAATTTAATTAAATGCTGGTGATGTTTAAACAACAGAAAAAATTCAAAATACATTTTGTTTGATTGTGCATTAAAGCCAAATGAAGCTTGATAATTAATTCCACTAATTTATTCTAGATGCAGTTTGGATTTTAAATACAAAGAGCAAACAGTAGCAACAACAATGTTTGAACAAAAGAAAAATGACAATAAATTTTAAATTATTGTTTTAATATGTTATTTTATTTGATTCAGTGAAGTCATTCAAAGTTATTTTTTGAGTGCCTGCTAAGTGCCAACTATTTGATAGGCTCTCAGGACACAATAGTGTTTAAAACAAATAGGTCCAGCTCTCAGAGAAGTAATATTCTTATTAGTGAAGGTATACAATGAATGAATGAATGCATAAACAAATCAGTCTATCAAAATAATGTAACATGATATAATATCATCAAATTATTTCTAATGACTTTACAATGGATTAATAGCACAAACAATTTTAAGTTATTGGAATTGAATATATAAACACACACACACAATCAAGGTGAAGTGAAATAAAGTGAGTTAAATAGCTCAGGAAATTCCCACTTCTATCCCACCAAATAGGCATATGAGACACAAGAACTTGATCTTTTCTCAGATTCTTAGTTTAAGCAGCATGCTGTGATGAGTAGATTTTTATTAATTACACAGGTGCATTTCATATTGCTTGTAATGGGAAAAGCTGAACCAACATTAATGCATTCATTTATTTTTTTTCTACTTCACTTATAAATTTGGTGAACATGTATTTGACTTGGCTTTCTACTAGCTGATGTCCTAGGCTTCATTAACTTAATAATGATAGCACATGCCTTACAGAGTTGTGAGGATTTAATGAGACAACACATGGTATGGCAGGATAATTCTCAGACAGCCCCCAGTGCATCATGCCCTTATGAAATCCCCTCCCCATGAGTATAGGTGGAACTTCTCCTACGTTGCTAACCAATAGGATATGGCAAAGATGATGGGAAATGACTACTTTCCTTTATATGATTTTCCCTTAGCACACTAGAGACAATAACTGGCTGACTTTGAAGAAACAAACAGCGATGTTATGAACTGCATATGGAAAGAGTCACATGGTAGAAAACTGTAAGTAACTTCTAGTAATTTACAGGAGCTTTCAGCTAATAGCATTAGGAAGCCAGGGCCCTAAGTCATATAACTACAAGGAAATGAATACTGCTAACATGTCAATGAGCTTGGAAGCACATTGTTCCCCAGTCAAGTCTTCAGCTAAAAACGCATCTCTGCAGACACCTGGACTGCAGCCTTGTGAAACCCTCAGCAGAAAACCTAGTTAAACTGTGCCTGGATTTTTGACCTTCAGAAACTATGAGATAATAAACGTGTGTTGTTTAAGCCACTAAGTTTGCGGTAATATGTTATGCAACAATAGAAAACTGATATAAGTGGCTTTAGAATAGTATTTTGAATTTATTAAGCACTCAGTAAATTGTAGCTATTTTATCATATATGTCATGACCAATGAATTGGGCTAGTCATTTTGAAAAAAATATTGGGAAAATATGATCCTTGCTTTCTTGGAGTCTACTGGGCAAAGACAAACATAAAGAAATATTGACAATAATATGGAATTGCTGCTTTAATGGAAGGAGGTACAGGGTCCTCAGGGAGTATCTAGAAATGGAACAAAAGACAGACCTGGGTCATCAAGGAAGTCATTCCAGAGAAGCCAGTGCCTGGACTAAATTGTAAATGGTGATTCTTTCTATCACACATTAAATGTGTGTATGTGTGTATATGTTTACCTATTTATTTACTTATTTATTTATTTTTATGTCTTTCCTTCAACAAAATGTAAACTTCTTGAAGGCAGGGTACTTGGTCTGAATTTCCAGTGCCTAGATAAATGCCTGTTACATAGAAAGTGCTTAATGGGTATTTGATGACTGAATGTATTAGTGAATTTCAAGTTAATCAAATGAGCAGATTTGGAGGAGTGAGTGGGATCTGTAAAATTTGGAAGTCAGAGAGGCCCTATGCCATGATAACCTTCAGGTCCTTCTTAAAAATTGTCTCTCTGGAAGGAAAAAGTGTTCCACCATCATCAGTGCCTGGATGCTCATTCATTTCTGGAATCAAACACATCACAATGTTTCAATGTATTTTCACCATCACTTGTGGAATGACACATATTACCAGATGCTAGGAAATGCCCAGGATGCTTGTTATGATCTTTGAGACAGCAATAAAATTATGTTTACATGCTATATAAAGATTAAAAGACCCTTCAATTTGGGACATCCACATGGGTTTGGGGCAGTTACAGGGCTTCTCAAAAATAAGCTCTATATATTTTATCATCTTAAGCATACATAAAATAAACGTTGAAAGCTCTGGATAATTTTTATCTTGGTTATCATTTATTATCTCCTATTTGTCATATGTCAAGTTAACAGGATAATGCAAGTATTGCATATAACCTATTGATTTTGTTTTGATGTTTGTCTCTTCCAAATCTCACGTTGATATGTAATCCTCAGCGTTGGACATGGGCCCTGCTGGGAGGTATTAGATCATGAGGGCTGATCTCTCTTGAATAGCTTAGAGCCGTCCCCTTGGGGTTGAGTGAGTTCACATGAGATCTGGTTGTTAAAAGAGTATGGCACCTCTTCCCTCCCTCTCTCTTGCTCCTGTGCTCACCATGTGACACTTGGCTTCCCGCCATGATTGTAAGCTTCCTGAGGCCTCACAAGAAGCAGATGCCAGCACCATGATTCCTGTACAGTCTACAGAACCATGAGCCAATTAAATCTCTTTTCTTATAAATTACCCAGCCTTAGGTATTTCTCTGTAGTAACACAAGAATGGACTAACACACCTACATTATCAATAAAGGTAAAAGTTAAAAGTTTGGAAGTTGTCATTTTCTGGATATGTTTACTAGGTAAAGAAACAATAAAGTATATTATCTTGGTGTTGAATGTGTTATAGCATGAGGTTAAAAGACTGCAAAACTTAAACTCAGAATATTTATCCAGTTCAATTAAGAAATCAACTCTGAAATTTAGGATATCTTTAGGACTGTATCCTGCACTAGAATATTGAAAACTTTCTGCAGTAAAGATATATGCTATGTTTTATAAACAGTTTTTTGTCAATAATTTACACTAGTGGAAAGAAAAGTTACTTTGATTCCCTTACTTTAAACCTTTCCAAATAACAAGAGGATTAAAAAATGAGTTAACACCTACTGCCTAAGTAAAACAATCACAAATCTAAAATTTCTCAGTGAATAGTCATCATATACACATAGAACTTACGTTTTTCACATTAGGAAGTTGAAAATTCTTGTATGAACCCTAATGAGTATAAGTATTAAAGTCTAAACAAGGAAAGAATTGCTAGTCATGCTATAATGGTACTCACTACAGGCTTAACCAACAAAAGATAGTATAAGTATCATTTTGAATGCTATATTGTATAAATATTATAGTGTGAGGTACAAATCAAAAATCAATTATCTTATTTAGAAATATTTAATAAGAGCTACATTGTAGTTAAACTTAATTAAATTCTGTTGCAACAGCAAAATAATTTACATACATATATATAATCTCCAAACAAAAGAGTTTTTGTGGTTTTTATTGCTATTATAGCTGTTATATTTATTTATAGTGTAAGTTTTTAAATTTGCATTTATATTTTTATACCTTTTTCCATCACAGGACCTTGACTAAGCATTTCTTTATACACTAAGTAAAATTGGTCTTGCAGCCTTTTCTCTGGCTTCCATTTTTATCTCTGTTCTGCAGACCTCCTAATGGAAGGACATGGAGACACTAACATCATTTAGGGTATTATCACCTGAAGTACATGAGCAATTTTCAGGGCTGGTCAACTGCCTATTTGAGAAGGAAGAAACCCTAATTGATAACATTTGTTAATTTCCATAGTACATATTTCCACCATGGCTAACTTCAAGCTGCCAAATTATTTTATAATGATTGATAAAATTTCTGAATATTTAACAGTTATTATGTGCCAATAGGAGCCTGTAGGAGCCAACCACAGTACACCACAAATGTAATCAAATAACATGTGGAGGAAGTTTGGAATTTTTGAATGATAAAATGTGGGAAGATAGTAACAGGTCAGAAGAAACAAGGAGTTGAGGTAAGTTCATTGAGGGGGCTACTTGTCATATCAAGAAGCTGGCATTTCATTGTTCAAAAAATTAAGAGCCATCAAAGGATTTAAAAAGACAAGTGGCTAGGTCAGATTTGCCAATTAGGAAGATCATGTTGATGGTTATAAGGAATATGAATTGAAAAAGATGAGTCTAGATGTAGAAAGCCTCTAAGCCTTTAAATGTCTTCATGACATGAGAAGAAAGACTAATTTAGAAATATAATATGATTTGTGAAATGCAATGGAGAAAACTGTCAATAATTATAATTTTGAAACTCAAGGCTTCATAAATGTGCTGCCTCTTGTCTCTGCTAATTCCTCTTCCTGCTACCCTCCTTTTTAGCTATCTACATTTCTGCTTATAAAATGTTTTGATAATGGAGAACAACTCAACAGAAATAGATTGATTTAGACACAGTAACAAGAAATGTTAATAATCAGCAAAGACAGAATTGATGGGGCAGGAAATATGATCTGAAAAGATCTCACTAAAGGGCTAGGAGGAGGAGTTAGTGAAGTCTAGAAATAATGTAATCCACAGATACACTCTCAGTGTTACTTCCAGATATACATGGCCACCTGGTTCTTGACTGAGGTGTGAGGTTGAAGTCTACATCCCAGAATTTTTACTAAGAGCAAACTATCAGTGTATTCCAAAGGGAATGGGGTCATCATTCAATTAGAGGAGCCATTTACTAGAGGTGCCATTCAGCATTCAGAGTGGCAGTAGCGGTAAAAAGAAACAAAGCAATTAGGAAAACCAGAGTTGAAGATCACAGTAGGACCAGCAACACAACTGACTTGATGAATACATGTTCAGTACTTGAACTCAAGAGTTAAGCAAAGTCTTGCTGTCAAGGAAAGGTCTGTACAGTCTCAGTGTCTGAGTTGAGTCTGATGCTACAAGACTGTCCAAGTAATATCAGATTCAGATATGTGTGGGCCGAAGGACAGACAGCTACGCTGGTTGGTACAGCACCATCCCTGATAAAAGGGAGATTTTTTAGTTTAACAATAGTATTTCCTCACAAAATTTACTCTATGATAGAAAAAAATTAATTGAAAGGGCATCAAAGATGGAGAGCTGTAGAACTGTACTAAGTGAAAACAAAATTTTTGTGACTTTTTGTGTTTTGAAAAGAATTACTTCACTAGATGTTATTTCACATAGAGATGTATCATTTATTAGAAATATTAGAATATGTATATTTTTATACTTCCAAAGAGGATTTTTAAAAGAAATATGTTTTACAATGATATACAGAGTTTTTAATTATTAGGAAAAATCTTATATTCATAAGCACCAATGAATATATCAACACTATATAGTGTATGAGGAAATTTTTAAATGATTTCAGATCCCAGATGCATAGTAAAACTGTTAGTCGACAGTTATGATGATTTACATTTGAATGACTTCTAGATAGGTTTAGGGCAGCACTAAAATTAAAATCTACCCATCACAGATGATATTTTCTGATTAATGTAAATGAGAAATTTTAAAATGAAATTTATATATATTGTATAGAATGTAGCAGAGTATCTGAAATGCAATGGTTGAGTCTTTGTGACTTTTAATTTAATATTTCTTACTTTGATAACTTATAACAATATAATTGCAATTAAAATGCTGAAAAATAAACTTGTGGAAGATCTTCCATTTTGGATCAGTGATTGTCATTTTGAGCGGATGAATGTCAGATAATTCCATATGGTGATCACTTTGTAGCTGACTACTGTAATTTTGTAATAAGAAAAAGTATTTTGTAAGTATAATGATGAATAGTGTAGTTAGTGTAGCGTGTGGTTAAAATAAACAGCTAAGTGATATTCAATGCCACATTAACTAGATATTTATTAAGAATTTACTATGTATCATGTATCATCTATAAGGTTCTAACAAAGAAAAGCAAATGAATAAGGAAAATATCTGATTTTTATGTGACGAACATCACCTTAGTAGAAACAAATATGAAAAAATACTGTAATACAAAAGGGCTGTCTACAGTAGATGAGGCTTCAGACTTGAGAGGGAAGAGTGGTTTGGTATGACTTTGCACAGAGTAGGGAAAGGAGGAATTGAGAAAGGCATCCCACTCACTTCTCCCAGAGTTGGAGAAAATTAGATCTTAATACTAATGCCTGATTTATGGATTCTCCCTGTTATACTGTTTGGTTTACTTTTCTATAAGCAAAATGCAAGCATAGCTTCATTTCAAGCTTAAACATTATTTTTTAGAGAACCCAAGATTTATTTAATCTCGTTGTTACAGAAGTTTCTAATACCCTGTACTTTTTCCTTTCTTTCTAGCACATACAACAATTTAATTAATTATAGCTGCAAAAATATTTAGTTGTTAATTGATGTAGTATGATTAAAAATTAATTTCCTAATTCAAAAATGAAACCAAGAGCAGATTCTTTCCCTCTGGGTTGGCTCTTCCCTAGTGAACAGACACACAATATGTCTGATGACAAGAAAACAGACTTTTAATGCAGCCTCCTTCATTTGCTGCCCCACAGTTAAACCTCATTGGGGAAAAAAGGATCTTGTGCCTCAGGAAGAGAAAAGGGCTATTAGCAGTCCTCACCACTCCAGACTCTATGTAGCTCAGACTGATGGTGAAGAGAGAGGTGGCTGTGATTTAAGCAGTTTGGACCCAGAGGAGTACTTGGGGTGGGACAGCAAGAACAGTTGTGTTAGTAGCTGCAATAGGATCTCTATATTGAGACAGGATAGTTCCTTGACCCCTTCACAGGACTTGTGAGGGGGTGACTCACTTACTCAGCCCACAGCTCTCAAACCCCTTGAGGGGGAGGAAGCATGTAGGCGAGCAGGTGCAGGAGGGGGACGAAATGAATCCTATATTGGCACCCCAGCAGCAGCTTCTAGGTGTTGCCATTGACCCCTAGAGCCCCAGAGGGCGTGTGTTACATACAGTGTGCTCTTTCACCTTTGCCATCCGCAGATGGCTAAGTGGTAACCAGCTCAGTGGAGGGTCAGGGTAACAGCCTTTTGCACCCGCCTTCTTGGTGCCCGAGTTCATGTCCAGCATCCAGAAAGAATCAAGTCGCACGAACCAGTTGAAGGGTAGTGAATGTGGAGAATTTTATTGAGCAATGGAAGTGGCTCCCAGTAGGATGGGGAGCTGGAAAAGGGATGGATTGGTAAGATGGTCTTCCCCTGGAGTCTGGCCATCCCTGAACCGAACAGGCTGAACTTCTCTCTAACCATCCCCAGCCAAACTCCTTTCTGACTAACCGCAGACTGCAATCTTCAGCTTCTTCTTCTCCTCTTGACTCCTTCTCTCCTTCTCTGCTACACCACTCCACTTTGCCAGTGGAATCTGGGGATTTTATGGGTACAGGATGGGGGTTGTGATGTACCAGGGTGGTTTTGGAAAAGGTAATATTTGTGCAGGAAAACAGGAATGCATGTTCTCCCTTAGGGCCATGGGTCCAGGTTGGAGGGTGGAGCCCTCACCAGGGACCCCACTCTTTTCTACTTGGTATTTCCCTGCCCTGTTCTTATCAATATAATAGTAATTCTTTAACATTGTATGGTTTAAAGCAAATACTCTGTCTTAATTCCAACAGCACTTATGCAAAAAAAGTGAAGCAATCACATTAAATAATGTCATAAAATTATCTGTGATTTAAGGTCTACAATCTTCAATTAATTACAGGAACAGTTGTGTGTCCATATTAATAAAAGATACTGTAAAAAGGTACTTGCTTGGAGGGCTCAAGTACCACCACTCCACCCCCATGGAATATTCCCTAAGAGGTCTAACGAGATGTAAGTATATTTTGTCTTTTTTCATATGCATGTTAATCACAATACTCTGCTCCTCCCAAGTGCCTCCCTGTTCTATTTAAGCAGACAGTGGCTTGGTCATCAATGCATGTGGGACAAGGTAAATGTGAGTAGCTAGCAATTTCTTAATTCCTTAATACTATTAATTTCTAGAAGTCCAAATTATAGAAAACAAAAACCAAACAAGAACCAAAAACAAACAATAAACAGAAAATGGGAAGTTAAAGCTTTGCAGTGGTGGAATGGAATAAAGATTAATCAAGGACGTAGAAATAACTTTGGTAAAAACACAGAGAAGAATTTTTCCGGATTAGGAAGAGTTACACATATCTTCCTGTTTTCCCATCCTAGAATAGAGTTGTTATATTTATCATAGGTGTAAATTTTTTCCGCTGAGCTATATGCATGTTACATAGTAATATGCATCCTTTTAATTAAATATATTGGCTGTAATGTGCAATTTTAAATGTAGACTGTATATCCTATAAAAAGATATTTTTACATCCCCAGAGCCTATCATATTATTTGTCCCACAGTATGTATTTTCAACAATGTGAGCTGAATTAATGCTCTATGCTTTCATCAGGAATAAATAAAATCTTAAAGGATAAAGATATTGGTCTGGAGCTTGTCCAGCAACATGATGAAAGTATGGATTCGTCAGGTATTGACACTCCTTTCCTGGGTTTGTTGCCCCTACTTCTAAAGTGTAGCCAGCTCCCCAAGGACTGGAAAGATTTAAACCTTGGATATCTAAAACTAATTTAACAACTATTTTAGTAAGTTAAATTTTTGTAGTTTCTGTGATATACAGATTTTAGTAACCACTAGGGGATGGAATTCTGAATTACCTAAAAGATAAAAAAAAGGTCAAATTTTTATACATTAGGGAAGTTTTAGATTATTTTAAATGAGATTAAAATTAAGGATAGAAGACAAAGATTGTGTGAATCATGAAAGAAAATAATAATTTGAGGGGAGGATACATTCTTTTTCTTTTTGGGAATCCTCTCCATTGTCTATATAAAACAGTTTTACTTTGTTATATTTTATTCAAAAGCACATATGTAAAGTAGATGTAACTTATGTATTACAACATATGCAAACATGTTAGAATCCATCATCTAAGAATGAGGAATTATTAACACTGTGAACTACCTGTTTGTGTCTCCTGGATAGCATGCACTGCCTCACTAAAGAAGTAACCACTATCTTGAACTTTGTGTTTATCATTTCCTTATTTTTCTTTGTTTTTTATTATGCTTTGAGTTCTAGGGTACATGTGCACAACGTGCAGGTTTGTTACATATGAATACATGTGCCATGTTGGTCTGCTGCACCCATTAACTCGTCATTTATATTAGATATAGCATTTCCTTATTTTTCTAAAGTCGTTTTGACACATACAAGGACATTTCTCAATACTATATCAGTTGTTTTTGCTTGTTCTAAGGTTATTTAGAAAAACAAAAAGCCTGCTCTATCTGTATTCCTGTGACTGGCTTTTCTTCATTTACAATTGTATTTTAAGAGTCATTCTTATTGAAGGTAGCTGAATTTCATTCATTTCACTACCGTATGCCGTCTATTGTGTGTGTGTGTGTGTGTGTGTGTGTGCACGTGTGTGTAGGGAGGGTCATTTGTTATATGTTCTGCCGCCAAAAAAAATTTAAGTTGCTTTCAGTGTTTTCTGTTGAAACTAATAGTTCTGTGAATATTTGTATACATGTCTCCTGGTGCACAAGAGCATGAATACATACTTAGGCTATATGTCTGGAAGTAGAATTGTGAAGTTCAGCTTCATAAGATAATGCCAAATTGTTGTCTATTGTAGGTAAACTACTTTTGGCTCTCATTTGGATTTACCATTGCCAAAATTGACATTTTAGACTACTTCTGAAAACTTACTGGATGTAAAACACATTTCATGTAGGATTTATTTTCCATTTCTCATTTCTCTGTCATTTTTGCTATTCTTTTATTAATTTATTTATTCATCCAATAAATATTTATTATTGATCTTTTACTATGTGTCATTCACTATTCTATCCATATGTTTATGAGTCATATTTTCTTAGCTTATGTGAAATACCTATTCTTATTTTAATTATGTTGTACGTTCTTTCTTTTTGATTTACAGAAGTTTTAAAAATATATAATATGGATAATAGTACTCTGTCAATTATGTATATTATAAATATATTTTCACCTATTGTGGTTAAATTTCCTAATGGTTTTCTTTGCAAGCTTTGTTGAGGCTTAATTGAAAAATAAAAATTGCATATATTTAACGTGCATAATGTGATATTTTGATATACATATACATTGTTCAGTGATTACCATACAACCCTGAATGTCCCTGAACTCATTTGATCTTTCTTATTGTTTTCATTGTGTTTTTAAAAAGACTTATTCTTAATTTTAGGGTGCTTAATTTATAACACCTTTTATAATTTACATTTTTGTGTTTTATTTCATATCATTAATAAACATGTTTCTTGATATTGTAATGTTTACTTATATTATTTTAGAAACTTATTTCTCCTAGACTTGATATTTATTTATTTATTTATTTTTCTTTTTAATTTTTTTGAGAAGGAGTCTTGCTCTGTCACCCAGGCTGGAGTGCAGGGGCATGATCTCTGCTTACTGCAACCTCTGCCTCCTGGGTTCAAGCGATTCTCCCATCTCAGCCTCCCTGAGTAGCTGGGATTACAGGCGCCTGCCACCATGCCTGGCTAATTTTTGTATTTTTAGTGGAGATGGCATTTCACCATCTTGGCCAGGCTGGTTTCAAACTTCTGACCTCAGGTGATCCTCCTGCCTCGGCCTCCCAAAGGGCTGGGATTACAGGCATGAGCCACTGTGCCCAGCCTAGATATTTTATAATCTGTGAGGTGAAGATTAAATCATATCTTCATATATACACAAACACACACATATATGTGTATATGAATATGTGTATATATATTTTCTTGAAAACTTAAGACTGGCAGCTTAAAAAAATCATCCAGGCCAGCTCAGCCCAGCTAGCCCAGCTTTAAAAAGTCATCTTGCTGTAATACCTCAGGATATGATACAAATTCGATGGTTTAAGGTAAGAGGCAGAATGTCTTTCATCTTCTATTTGAATAATAAATTGGAAAAAAATATTCCATCACAGAAAGTCCCAAACATTGCCTCTATTTGCCTTTTGGTGGCCAGACCCTAGGCTCATAAGCTACATGTTAAAGGAAACGTAAAATTATTATTTTTAAAAGTTACATTAACAAGTCATCCCATGTTCCATACTTCTACTATATGATAGACCATATGCTATGTTCTGGGTACAGAAATATAAGTAAGATAATCCCTGTTCTAAGAGTACAAGGGTATGCTGTTAGCATAAGGGTATCCTCTTATGCTCTTATGTTCTAAGAGCATATGAAAAGTTGCACTATATTGTGTAATGTCAATAATTTTTCCGTAAAGTAAGTGATATGAATTGGTCTCTGTAGAACATTAGGCAGAAAAAACAGCAGGATCAGAGCCATAGATTTGGAAGTCAAAGAGCAAGATAATGGATCCTGAGGCAGTCAGTGAGTGTATGGTAGAAATAAGATAATCAGCCAGGATTGGGTTGAAAAGATCAGCAGTGGTCAGATGTTAATATCCTTAAATTAATTGTTCAGAGAATGATCTCATTTTTTTTCTAAGCAATGGTGAAAGGGCAAAGTCTTTTAGAATAAATTTAGGAACAACCAAATCTGTATTTTAGGAAGATAACTCAGATTGGCATGTAAATGTGCAATGGTAGAGGGTGGAGCTTTAAGACAGACTATCAGGAGATACTGCAGTAGGCATATTAAAAGGAAATAATAGCCAGGTCTAAAAGAAATCTAAGGAAATGAAATGGCTACAGAAATTAAGAACTGGTAAAGGCAAAGATGCAGAAACAATTTCAGAAATGGAATTGGCAAGACTTTGTGACTGACTAGTGTTATATGAGGTAAAAGATGTTAATAAAAATTTCTACATTATATCGTTTTGTGGGAGAATAATATGGTAAATACTTGACATGTGAATATATTCTACAGGAATCATTCATAGGAAACTAAAATTGTTTCCTTTATTCAGAAAAATTTTGAATAGTGAACTTTTATTTAGTGTCCTGATTAAAACATAGCATTATTCTGGTGTTTAAGGTGGTTATTTCAGAAAGACAATGTTTCCGAAAATATATTATTTTCTAAATGTCAATGGCATATGTGTGTGTGTGTGTCTCTGTGTGTATTTCTTCTGAAGTATATATATATATATATATATATATATATATTTTTTTTTTTTTTTTTTTTTTTTTCTTTGAGATGGAGTCTCCCTCTCTAGCCCAGGGTGGAGCTTAATGGAGCAATCTCGGCTCACTGCAACCTCCGTCTCCCGGGTCCCAGTTCAAGCAATTCTCCCGCCTTAGCCTCCTGAGTAGCTGGGATTACAGGCACATGCCACTATGCCCAGCTAATGTTTGTATTTTTAGTAGAGATGGGGTTTCACCATGTTGGCCAGGCTGGTCTTGAACTCCTGATATAGTCAACTGTCCAACGTGGCCTCCCAAAGTGCTGGGATTACAGGCGTGAGCCACCGTGCCTGGTCTCTGAAGTATATATTATTTAATGTTCATGTGTAATGTAAGAAAATGGTGAATGTTTTTCAATATTTTTCCCATTATTATGATGTAATATTAGACTTTAAGAAACATTGGTCAGAAGTGAGGACCTGAGAAAGTTGTAGGAGAGACGACCTGATGTGTGAATGCACAATGCTGCGCTTGGGCTTCGATGCAGAGGCATCATTTACCAACTAAGAACCAGGGTATATATTACGTACAGAATTGTGATATTCTATATATTTCATATTATTTGATGTTTAAAATAAATTAAATGTGTGTGTACCAAGGATCATTCACAATGAATCTGCCTGACAGAAGAAATTGATCTATGAGGTTATTATTACTATTTCTACTTTAATATAAACATGTGCTTTGATGCTTCATCAACATATTCCAAGTATTTTAGTGTTAAATAAATTTTGCCAATCTCATGATATCAGGTAGCATATTTAAGATGATTTGTAGCTCCTGTAAAAGTTCCTTGCTAGTATTGATTAATGGGTCAATTTTAGCCAGCAGAATTTTACTTGCAATTATTTATTTATTTCTTCATTCACTACTTCAAAACCATACTGTGTATCAGGTAATTGTTTAGAAATGAAAAGATGAATAAAGTCTACCTCCTGATATCCAGGAATTACTTTACATAAATAAAGGAAAATAAATACTCCAATAGTTATAGGAAAGTGGCAAGAGCTAAAACAGAAATAAATAAATTTCAATAACACAGCAGAGGAGGAATTATTTAATTTTGTTGAGAAGTGCCTGTAGCTTTCAAGGCCCAGATGTTCATTTTTATCCAGCTAGTAAGGCAGGCAAAAGTCAATTTGATATTCAGCTAAACAAAAAAACCTATAAAGTAACTGTTTTTCATAATTTTTGGTTTTATAACTGTTCCAAGACACTTTCCTTAACTTTTCTTCCTTAATTCTTTCAAATATTCAATGTTTACTAGATTCCTGATACTTAAGGTATCCAGAACTAAACAGGGAGGCGCATGAAGAACTGGAAAGAACAGCTACATAGGAGGCAAGTTGTAATGAACATTAAGTAAGATAATGTGTTTAAAAGTTCCACCTGGCATTTGTAGGCACCCCATAGAAGATGCTGTTTTCATCATCTGCATCATAATCATACTCTTTTCAAATTAATTCCCATATACAAATTTCCTTATCATCCTCATGTTTGTCTTCAATGCATACCATGAGAATTGCTTTAGTATCTTTACTATTCTCCTTTCTGATAATCTTTTCCTAATTCATTCCTAATTCTTATTCATTTCCTTCAAATACTCTTCATCAAACCAGAGCTTTTGTATCTAAGTCTGATGAAAAGAACAAAGAGAACAAATGATCTTATCATATTCCCTTAGCAAATTGTTAGTAAAATGTCTGGGTCACAAATTCAGTATAATTATGAAATGGGATCCAGACAGAAAACAAAATTCTATTCACATGGTTCAAATGAAAAGACTTCAGTGAAGAGCTTGAGTAAGTTTTACAGAACAAAGATGGGATTTTGCAGCACCTAAGGCCAGCCTCAGTGGAAAACTGGGTACTGATTTTATGGCTGATGAGTCAAGAGGACAATATAGTGTTATTTCACCCCAGTGAGAGCTGAAACCTTAAAGGGAGTGGCCATATGATAGAAATTATAGTCAATTGGTAGACATATGGCACCAGGATTCAGACAGGGAAGAAACAGCACAAAGTCTCCCTCCTCTCACTTTCTCATCTCTTGTCAGCGTCTCCCATTGGCTGACCAAATGGGAAGCAACTAGCAAGGGGCCCAACTAGTGAAGTTTGCTGGGGTCATGCTTTACAGGAACAGAGCAGAACAGAGAAAATGGACATGGATCAGCAGAGGAGAGAGGGTAAAATTACCACCAAAGTGATATGATGAAAATCTGTGTTATTCTCCAAACATTCCTCTGGGTACTTAACATTAAGTAACTAGTTAAACCTCTCACCAACCCTGTAAGTTGCTACTATTTTTATCCATAGTTGAGGAAATTGAGAGACAGAGTACGGTATTTGTCAAAGTTTATGCAGCCTTTTTTAGCTAGTGAGTTCCTGCAAATGCTTCTCCTCTCTAGGGCCCCATTTTACTTAAGTAATCGATAGAGAAACTCTAGAAAAGAGAATGTTGAGGATAAGAGTGACTTCAAATCTTAATGTAGACTTCTTATTTTACAGATATGACAGCTAAGCTTCAATTAAGAAAAGTTCCTTTCTAACATCATTTTGTTAAAGACAAACCCAGGGCCAGATTGCACTTTTCTCACTTCCAGATAGGTTATATTTGTAAAACAAGAGGCTGCTTCTCATTTACTATGGAGATACCTGATTTACTGTTACAAAGAATCATGACACTAAATTTTTTAAATTACTAGTGATTTTTATTTCAGGAAACTGCCATTTTTTCACCTCAATACCTTCTAAACTATTTTATCCATAAATATAGCACATAAATATCTCAGGTGTGTGGTGGTACTTAGCTGAGATTTATTCATTTAGCATGACAGCAGATGGTAGAGAATTTTAGGTGCTGAAGTATATTATTACTGCCCGGGAGAAAATATGGTTTATTAATCAAATTGCAGACCTTCCCACTCAATTCTTTCCCTTCTTTTACTACTTCTTTTGAAAATTTTTCTAATATTTTTCAGTTCTTGATGTCACAAATTACTTAAAAATTTTTTATATTTCAACTTTAAAAACTTGGTCTACAATGGAAAGCTTATGCATTTATTCTTATTTTAAATATTTTCTTCATTTTCAGATCTTGAAGTATAAATTCACTGGATTAAATTGATAAAATATAAAAATATAAAAATGATGGCTTTATAAAGAATCTTTACCCAGAGAAGGTAACTTATTGGGGGTAGACTGATTGCATGGATACTTACAATTGGTGGCCTCCCTTTTGCCCAGTAACACTTTAGGTCCCTTTCACTCTTCCTTTATTTTTTCTTTTGGAGGGCCCTGTGACTCTGGCCAATAGAATGCCCAGTTCTGAGTCTATACATCAAGGGGCCTCATGTACTTGTTTTATTTCTCTTGAATCCCTTCCTGTGACATGACAAGCTCAGACTAGTCTACTGCAGGATGAGATACCATGTGAATCACAACTGTATTACCCCAGTTTTCACAGCCTAAGCTCCAGACATGGGAGAGAGGCCAATAAAGCCAACCAGAGATGACCCACCGGCTGGGCACTGAGACATAAGTAAGCCCAACTAAGAACAATCAACCAGTTAACCCTCTAACTCCCAAGTTTAATAAATACTTATTATTTAAGACACTAGTTTTTGTCACTGTTTGTTATGTATTAATGTTTTTGTAATAGATAATGAATATACACATCCATTATATCAACATCAACATTTACATAAGCATTTGCTATATCCACTTCCTCTATGTATATTTATATCTTTAATAATGATTATAATAATTACAACTATTTAACTGGGTGCCTTTTCCTGTTTCATATTCTTTTAATTGCTTACATATGGTATGGTTTTTAATCATAATAAACTGATGAAGAACTTATTATCTTCACATCACAGATCAGAATTAGAGGTTCTGGGAAGCAAAGGAACTTCCTAGGTTACTTCCAGTTATTATTAATAATTTATGCCTCCACCTTTGCTGGAAATCCCCGGACAGTCCTACCCTGACCTGCCACTAGCAATGCCCATTGTCCTGAATCTCTGCTGACACTACCATTTTCACTGGCTACTCCATTGAGTCAAGATTCTCTCACTGGGTTGGTAGCTGAGCTAGATATATTTTTCCATTTCTACTGTCACTGTTAACCAAGCTGTAGGCACCCTTGACCTTATAGCTCCAATGATGGTCTGTTCTACTACATGCAACAATGCCTTGGCTCCACCAGATCTGAGCTGGCAAAATGGTGGCTTTCCTAGAATCAGACCTCTGCCAAAAATAAACATAGCGTTTACATTATTAACCCAGCTTCTCTGAGCCAGACACCCTTGAAACATCCTTCAACCTTCTACCTGTTAGTGATAAAGTGAGGAGATAATCCCCTCTGACCGAGTCACCCTCAGCCTGAGGTATGTATGTATTGCAGAATGTCTTGGATCTAAGAAATTTTTAGAGCTAACTGAGGCACTGCCTTTTGAGCACAAGTCAGGAGGTATTTTTGCTCTCTAATTTCACTGTTTACTATCAACCTGAGTTGGAATCATGTTCCAAGAAATTGGCATGCAATATATGCAAGCAGTATGTGGTTGACTAACCTTTTGTAAACTCAAAGATTAGGTTAAAAATTTATAGGCATAGTTGAGTGCCCCAAAGCATGAAACATGTGTAGATATGCAAAAAAAAAAAATAATTTTTTTTCTCATGAGCCTCCTCGGTTCTTTTTTGCATCTGTGGATGAAAATTACTTTGCAGAAAAAATGCCATCTCACTTCAAGAATGAGTCTTGATATAGGAATGTAAGGTAGAAAATGAAAATCACCTATGAATCTCTATCAAATGGGAACATTGTTAAAATCTTTATCTCTCTTCTAAACCTCCTTTTAAACATACAAATTCTAACAATGTTAGTGTTTCAAAAATTTAATCATCTGCTAGAAGTCAGATACCATTCTAGCCAATGGAAATATGGCAGCAAATGAGACAGATTATTTTGCTTCAAGGAACTCCCAAGGTAGTAAGAAAAGACAGCAATATACTTGTTAACAAATTAGCTAATGAGATATTATTAGGTAGTGAAATGTGCTGTACCTGAAATAATATCATACAGTGTGACCAGAAGATCATGCTGCTTTAGCTCATTCAAGAAGGTCTTGCAGAGAAGATGGTATTTGAGTGATTATTAGTATCACAATTGCGATAAACTGAATATTTGTGCCCCTACTCCCAACATTTATGTGTGGAAAACGAATTCCATAAACTCATATGATATTTGGAAATGGGGCATTTGGGAGGTGACTAGGCCATAAAGGAAGAGTCCTCCTGAATGGGATTAATTCCGTTATAAAAAAGGTGCCCAGGAGTTACCTTACCCCTTTTACCAAGTAAAGATGCAGCTAAAAGACAGCATCCATAAACCAGGAAGTGGGCTGTCAACAGACAATCTAGGCCCCTTGCTCTTAAACTTTCAGCCTCCAGAACTGTGAGAAGTAAACGTATCTTGTTTTTATGTCACCCAGTCTACGGTATTTTTGTTATAGTAGCCCAAACAGACTAAGACAACAACATTTTCATTAATTATGTTAAAGTGCAAGTTTGTATGTAAAACTTGTAAAACTTCAAGTAAAACTTGATTAATAAATCCTGTGCATACAACATACTGAGAAACAAACTATTAAAAATGAACCCCTAAGAACTCATCACTTTAAGAAAAAAATATAAATCTTTACTTTTAGTTTCTGTTTCAGGACAGTACTATTTTATCACCTCAACAAATAGTTTCAAATCTGTACTATCTACGGATCAAGCACATACAAATTGCAGAGGGGTGAAAGTGCTTTGCCGAGACAGATTTAGCTCAAGCATTTCTTGCTTCTTTCCTTACCTGCTTACATCACTTACCCAATTATTCTAATCATTCCTTGGCATACAGTCTCAGTTCCCTTCTTCTATTTTATAAGCCATTGACAGAACTTCAGTCTTGGTTGAATCCAATTCTCTGTCATTAACAGCTGTACCTGTGGCTAGAACAAAACAAATAACCATGTACAGTGGTGCCTCTAGACCATTCCCATTCTTACTCATTCTTTCTCAACAAGTTCATAGTTTCCTCAAAATTCCACCATGTCCTCTCAGATATTCACACTCTGTTGATGACTTTACTTCCTATTTCATTGATGTAAAAGAAAGTATCACAAAATATATTCCACAAAGGTCCTCACACTACATCAACTTACCTAGGAGCATCAGTGAACATATACTTTGCCTTCCCTCTTTTTATTGTGAGTGAATTGTGCTTTATGCCAAGTTCAGCCCTTCCACCTATAAATAGACCTTATTTTCTCTCATTTTATGAAAACGTCACTCTTTTTTCAGTTCATGAATTTTCCTTTTTTACTTTCTTTTTCTACTTGCCCCCTCAGAATCCAGCAATGACATAAAAACTACATTTTTGTAGGATCCAAATGAAAAGGCTTCTCTGCTATCAAACCCCAGTGTGTCCATTTCATGATTCTTCTAGAAGAACAACACTAGGGTGAGCCTTTTCAATATTTTTTAAAAATTTCCAGAAATGTGGTTTGTACAGGCTACTATTTCACAAGATGTTTTACAAGATTCACCATAATAATGTGCTTAACTGTTGACACAGTTATTTCACCATTAGGAAATATGGGATGTTTATGAGTAAAATAATTTAAACATTTAACAATGGGAATGACTAATTGATCATAAATATATCTATATAAAACTATGATATGTAGATATATATCTATTTTACAATTTTTCACTTTTTTTTTTTTTTTGAGACGGAGTTTCACTCTTGTTGCCCAGGCTTGAGTGCAATGGCGTGATCTTGGCTTACTGCAAACTCCACCTCCCGGGTTCAAGTGATTCTCCTGCCTCAGCCTCCCAAGTAGCTGGGATTACAGGCATGTGCCACCACGCCCGGCTAATTTTGTATTTTTAGTAGAGATGGGGTTTCTCCATGTTGGTCAGGCTGGTCTCGAACTCTCAACCTCAAGTGATCCACCTGCATCAGCCTCCCAAAGTGCTAGGGTTACAGTCATGAGCCACTGCGCTAGACCAATTTTTTACTTTTATATACAGAATTGTCACATCCACAAGCTTATAGGTAAACATCTCGTATTTCCTAGTGGTGAAATAACCAGGTCTACAGTTGTGTACGTTTATGGTTTTGATATATGTTATCAAATAGCTTACATTCAAGTTGAAAAAGTTGTAAAAGGGCCCATCTCCAAATGCCATATGAGTGTTAAATATCGCTTGCAGTGTAAAATTATTTCTGATCCTTACTTTTGAGGATATAATTTTTTTAAATTTTTTATTTTTATTTTTGCTGATGAAAGGTCAATCATGTATTTGCTAGAGCAACTATTCTTTTTGTTTAATTTTTGTGTGAATTGCGTTTATCCTCATAAAACTGATATTTTCAGTTTTTTCTTAATTGTATGTGCATATACAAAAGATGTTAACTCAGCTTCATATAAATTTTTGCTTTCTTATTACAAAATTTACCTTCTATTTTTTGTGGTGTTTTAAAACATGGTCATTTATACTAAAATCTAAAATATTTTTATATTTTTAAGCAATGTGGTCCCTCCAATCACATAAACACAGTTCGAATTCCAGCTCTACCATTTACCATTACAATGGCAATTATCCTAGTTTTTGTCACACAAAGCTGTTGTTGGAATTAAATATAATAATTTGTGCTCTCTGCTTAGCAAATGAGAATAATAAATAACAGTTAATAGGCACTTATGGGTACTGTACTAGGTGCTATTCTTTATTTGTTTTAACAAATTCATTAATTTTAAATTGATAAAAATTGTACATATTTGTGGGATACATCATGATGTTTTTATACATGTATATACATTGTGGAATGGTGACATCAAGCTAATTAACATATCATTTACCTCACTTTTTTTGTAGTGAGAACATTTAAAATTTATTCTCTTAGAAATTACCAAGTATACAATATGTATACTTGATAATTTATATGTAACCATAGGCACCATGTTGTACAATAGATCCCTGGAAATTATTCCTTCTAACTGAAATTTTGTATCTTTTGACTGATATCTCTCTAACTCCTACCTCCCTGCTGCCCTAGCCCGTGGAAAGTATCATTTCACTCTCATTGAGTTTGACTTTTTAGATTCCACATATAAGTGAGATAATATGGTATTTGTGCTTCTGTGCCAGGCTTACTTCACTTAATATAATGTCATCCAGGTTTATTCATGTTGTTGCAAATGACAGGATTTTTTTTCTTTATCAACCCCCAATAGCATTCCACTGAGTACATATACCACATTTTAAAAATCCAATCCACTGATGGACACAACATCTTGGCTATTGTAAATAAAGCTGCAATGAACACTGAAATGCAGATATCCTTTTGACATATGGATTTAATTTCCTTAGAATATATAGTTGTCCCTTGAACAATGTGGGGGCAAGAAGCACTGAGTCCTCATTCAATTGAAAATCCATGTATAACTTTTGACTCTCCAAAAACTTTACTACTAGTAGTGTGCTATTGACTGGAAGCCTTACTGAAAACATAAACAATTGATTAACACATATTTCATATGTTATATTCTATACCGTATTCTTACAATAAAGTAAGCTGGAGAAAAGAAAATATTAGTAAGAAAATCATAAGGCAGAGAACATGTATGTATTATTCATTAAGTGGAAGTGGATCATTATAAAGGTCTTCATACTCATCATCTTCATGTTAAGTTGGCTGAGGGGGAGAAGAAAGATGAGGGGCTGGTCTTGCAGTCTCAAAGGTAGCAGAGGTGGAAGAATACTTATGTATAAGTGGATCTTTGCAGTTAAAACCTATGTTGCCAAAGAGTCAACTATATACCCAGAGGTGGAACTGCTGCATTAAATGGTAATTCTATTTTTATTTACGTGAGGAGACTCCACACTATTTTCTATAATGACTGTACTAATTTATATTCCCAAGAAAAGTGTGCAAGATTCCCTTAACTCCATGATATGGTTTGGCTGTGTCCCCACCCAAATCTTACCTTGAATTGAAGCTCCCATAATCCCCACGTGTCGTGGGAGGGACCAGGTGGAGAAAACTGGATTGTGGGAGTGGTTTTCCACATCCTGTTATTGTGATAGCGAGTTAGTTTTCACAAGATCTGATGGTTTTATGAGGGGCTTTTCTCCCTTTCGCTCTGCACTTCCCCTTCCCGCCGCCCTGTGAATAATGACATGCTTACTTCCCCTTCTGCCATGATTGTAAGTTCTCTGAGGCCTTCTCAGCCATGCAGAACTGTGAGTAAATTAAACCTCTTCCCTTTATAAATTACCCAGTCTCAGGTATGTCTTTACTAGCAGCATGAGAATGGACTAATATACTCCATGTCCTCACTAACACTTGTTATTGCTTGTCTTTTTAAAAAACACTTTTTATTTTTATTTTATTTATATATTTTTATTTTTAATTTTTGTGAGTATACAGTAGGTGCATATATTTGTGGAGTATATGAGATGTTTTGATACAGGCATGGAACATGAAATAAGTACATCATGGAAAATGGGGTATCTATCTCCTCAAGCATTTATCCTTTGAGTTACAAACAATTCAGTTACACTCTTTAAGACATATTAAAATATACATTTAAGTTATTATTGACTATAGTCACCCTGTTGTGCTATCAAATAGTAGGTCTTATTCATTCTTTCTATTTTTTTGTTCCCACTAATCATTCCACCTATCCCCAAACCTCCCATTACCCTTCCCAGTCTCTGGTGACCATCCTTCTACTCTCTATGTCCATGATTTCAATTCTTTTGAGCTTTAGATCCCACAAATAAATGAGAATATATGATGTTTGTCTTTCTGTGCCTGCCTTATTTTCCTTAACATATTCATCATCTCCAGTTCCATCCATGTTGTTGCAAATGATTGCTTCTCATTCACTTATGGCTAAATAGTACTTTATTGTGTATGTGTACCATATTTTCTTTATCTGTTAATCTGTTGATGAACCCTTATGTTACTTCCCAACATCAGCTACTATAAATAGTGCTGCAACAAACATAGGAATGCAGATATTTCTTTGTTATACTTATTTCTTTTCCTTTGGGTAGATACCAACCAATGGAATTGTTGGATCATATGTTAGCTCAACATTTAGTTTTTTAAGGAACTTCCAAACTGTTCTTTACAGTAGTTTCACTAATTTACATTCCCACCAACAGTTCACAAGGAATCCCTTTTCTCCACATCCTCACCAGCATTTGTTATTCTCTGTCTTTTGAATATATGCCATTTTAACTGGGGTGAGATGATATCGCATTATAGTTTTGATTTGCATTTCTCTGATGATCAATAATGTTGAGCACCTTTTCCTATGCCTGTTTTCCATTTGTATGTCTTCTTTTGAGAAATATCTATTTAAATCTTTTGCCCTTTTTTTTGACTGGATCATTAGATTTATTCTTAGAGAGTTGTTTGTGCTCTTTATACATTTTGGTTATCCTTGTAAGATGGGTATTTTGCAAATATTTTCTCCCATTCTGTGGGTTGTCTCTTCAGTTTGTTGAACGTATCCTTTGCTGTGCTGAAACTTTTTAACTTTTTGTGATCCCATTTGTCCATTTTAGCTTCGGTTGTCTGTAAGACAGGGTCTCGCTCTGTTTCCAAGGCTGGAGTTCAGTGGCACGATCTCAGCTCTCTGCAACCTCCACCTCCTGGGTTCATGTGATTCTCGTGCCTCAGCATCCCTGGTAGCTGGATTACAGGAGCATACCACCAAATCCAAATCCAGTTAGATTTTGTATTTTTAGTAGAGACAGGGTTTCACCATGCTGGCCAAGTTAGTTCGGAACTCCTGGCCTCAAGTGATCCACCTGCCTTGTTCTTCCAAAGTGCTGGGCTTGCAGGCATGAGCCACAGCATATGGCCCCAACTTCACACTTTTCATATAAAATCCTACATTGTCAAACTCCGATAATGTGAAAGCTGCTTTTTTGTATTTCATTTAAATAAAATTATTTTTTGAGACTTCAGTACAAGTTGTTATTGGTGTGCTTTTTAAAACTGTTTTTAAAAAATATATCCTTAAAAGCAAATGTTCCAAAAGTTGAATATGTTACTTCAGTTTACATATCAAGCTTGGTCCAAAGCTTAGTCAGATAGCCATGTTTATCAGCAAGAGAAAACTGGGCAATGACATGTATAACTAGGTGCTCAAATGCCCAGCTAAAACCTTGACAGGAAAGGATACCAGTGAGAATGGATAGTGGTGGACAATTATCGTAACTGACAATCGTGTTAATTACATAATTAACAAATAATTACTATGTCACAAGTAATACTGAGTCTTTTCTAGATGATTTTGACTTTCATTTTTTCTGTCACTTTTTTAACACATTCATGAACCAAGGAGAAATATATATATATATATGTGTGTGTGTGTATATATATATACGTTTATATATGTGTATATATACTATATACACACGTGTGTATATATAGTATATATGTAGAATATATATATACTATATAGTATATATACTATATAGTATACTATATATACTATATATATACTATATGTATATATAGTATATATATAGTATATATAGTATATATATACTATATACACACGTGTGTATATATACTATATATATACACACGTGTGTGTATATAGTATATATACACACACGTGTATATATATAATATATATATATATATTTTTTTGCCAACAGAGAAGTAGTAGGATTTGTTCTTAGCTTAGAACTCAGTTCTTCTATGTGACTATCATCAGAAACTCCAATTTGCAGCTGGAAATAACACTTCAAATTTAAACCTTGGGTTTTAACATACACCTGGAGCATCTCTTCTCTAATGAGTCTGCATATTGTTTGGATCCCAGGAAAATTTTTATTTGGCTCAATTCTGTTCATAGAATCAGTAATTCATAGTGTCTACTGTTAAATTGTTCTGATGATAGAAACTACCACCTCTAAAATTTATTTATATATATATAAATAAAATTTATTTGTGATAACTATATCTTCTAGGATGCAACGTCTCTTAAGATTTTGGAGAAGTGATGATAGAGGAATTGTTTTCTACTTGTCTTAAATATCAGTTTCCCAGTTTTCCACCTCTTATTCTCTGTGGCAGGAGGAAAGCAGTGAAGGAAAAATGAAACAAAAGATGTGCTATATATAGGTAATTTTCATTTCTAATGTATGCTCTTGGGCAAGTTATCTCTTTAAGTTTCAAGTTCTTCATATGGACCATATAAGCCATTACTTAAGTAGAAAACTTTGGTATTACTGTGTCTATTTGATGAGATGTTTCAATGGATCAGAAACACTAAGAAAACTGAGTCACAAAGGACAGTTTTTAGTGGGTATGGATGCTAATGACGGATATACATTATTATTAACAAGACAAGTAATTCTATATAATGAAATTCATAGGAAGACAATGAGAACTCACTTGGTGTTGGGTGCTGTGAATGGTACTTCAAAATATATGTGTGGGTAAAACAATCTTTGCTTTCAAAGTGTTGACAAGGGGGAAGAACGTATACTAAATAAAATATGATGAAGGAATTCTGTAATATGTTTTGTGAGGCTATTTGTGATATGTTTCTGAATTACCACTCAACTCTGAAATATCACATCAGATGCTATGATCCAGCAAAATGAATGACTTACAGTTTCCTGAGCATCCCAGGCTCTTTAGAACGTTTTGCTGGATAACTCTTCTCTATCCCTCCACTATACCATATCTTTCCCTCAGAAATACTCTTAAGAATAATAATTAGAATGTCTTATAGTTGTCTGTTCACTTGTCTGAATTTCCGTAACACTATCAGCTCTAGGAGAGCCAGGCATGAATCTACCTCGTTCACTGTTCTATCTCAGTTATTTACTTGGTACAGTGCATGACACATAGTAGGTGCTCAATGAAGTGTTTACATTGACTTCAAAGAAAACAAGACACAAATTTTAGCACAAGATATTCATTGACTTCTTTTTCTTCCTTCCTGCCAGAGGCAATGTTGGTTTTGTCCATCAGAATTCCAAGACCTAGAGGAAAGAAAGGTCAAATCATTGGTATAATTAAAATACAGAAGATAAAGGAAGGAAGACAATGAGAGAAACAGCCATATGATACAGGATGATGGATTGAGGATGGAAGGAGACATATTTCAGGACTGAGAAATTGATGCAAACAGAGAAGTTTCAGAGAATATGGGAATAGGAGATGAAAGGAAATATATATATAGTGGTTATTGTAAAATATGTATTTATATCCCCTTCATATACTTTGATAAAAATAAATAAGGCATTAAAAAGTAAATGCCCTTCATGAAATGAGCTTTTAGAATATTGTAATATGTCAAAATTGATTCCAATATATTTTTAACAGTACAAGAAATGACCATGAACGACTTGATTACATAAAGCAGTGATTATTTCCAGCTCTGGGATTCAGCAGAAGGTTTGTGAAAAGTTGGTTGAACAGGATGGATAGGATCTGCATATATAGAAAAATGTAGAGAAAAAAGCTATTCCAGGTATAGAAACTGTTTAAAATAGCATTAATTTTTAAGACATAGTAACCAATCATTTTCATTACAAATGTAAATGTATTTACACAAAAGTTGTCTTACCTTGGCAACTTTGGTTAAGTTTGATTAAGGGCTTTTTTTGCCCTTTTCTTTTGAACTTCTAATTACATTTGTTATAATTGGACAAGCAATCTATATTGCTATAGGCAATCTCTATTTCAAAGGGGCTAAAGGCTAAAGCCAAGCTACCAGACGAGTTAGTTAGCACAAAATTGTTGAGTTTATTTGCAGAGTAGTACAATAATCAACATAAAGCTGGTAAGTTCACTTACAGTTTAAGGGAGCAAATTCATTGCCCAATAGAGACACATTTTATGGTAATTTTACTGAACAAAGTCACTTGTTAAAAACAACCATGTTTTATACAACTTTTGTAGTTATTTTTAACTAAGGCCAAATAAAAAATTTTAGCCTTCAGCTTTTGCTCTATGTGTGCTCTATGTTCTACCCATTGTGAACAAAACTATATTTGTTTGACATTTTCAGAACAAAGCAGAGACATAATGAGGTCTTTATCAAATTCCATTACACTCTATAAATGTGCCCTTTGTATATCATCACAACTGAAAGCCAACTATTTTTAGCAACAAACAAACAGGACCTCTTGAGTATTATATGTTATATCATCACTAAATTTACCGAGAACAAGATAAGACATGGAATAAATGCTACATTTATATGTTGCCCTTATTTATAATCAACATATAAATATGTTTCTGTTTTGCATCAGCCTATAACAAGTACCCCAGACTCAAAACAAGCAAACTATAAATTGGCTGAAAATATAGAACTGACCTTTGCTGAAGTAACCAATAACTAGGTCTTAAGTATGCTTCAGGGACACTAAAATATGTGGTATTTTTCTTGTAAAATGTGCTCATTATAGGTATAAAATAGTTTTGCCTCTGTATAGAGCATCTGGATCTGTTATAAAATTCAGTCATTTAGGGGAATTTAAAAATAATGAAATTCATGATAACAAATGGATACATAAATGACTGTGTAGCTTTGCAATAGCTTCAGGATGTCAGACTTTACAGAAAAAAATGATTTAAACTATGTAGCAGTGAGAAGAAGTAAATACTTTCTGTTGTAGAGAATGATAAAAAATTATATTGTTATATAATCTGTGTTCAAGAATATTTGGGAATATATTTGGGAATATTTGGGAATACTTGGGATTGGCATGATTTCCTGATAAACAACAGATGTTTTCTCTAGTGATCAAGCTGCCAAGCAACTTGGAATATATTCTTGCTATAAGCTTACTAATCCTCAATTAGAAATAGGTTGATAGTTATAGCATTTTGGGGTTTTCGTTTAAGAAAAGAGTTTATGTTTTGTCATTGTTCATCCCTATTCTGTAGAAGACAAGTAGTCATCAAACAAAGACCACACTGTAGAATACGTGGCAGCCATGAGAATGCCATTTAGATTTCTCCTTGCAGACGGAATAATTGACCCATGGCCCCAGCTGCTGTCTGAAATTTATCTCCACATTCATGCCAAGGCAAATTCTTTCCATTTGCTGCTCCCAGTCAATGTTTGAGAACAGCAGGGACACTAAAAGTAGGTCTGCTCCTGGGAGACACAGAAATACTTCGATGGGAAACTTGGATTCTAGGACTTCCGGAGGATATTGTTGAATCTTCTTTATAACTGCACTGCAGTCTCAGATGTGTTCACCCTTCCCTTCCTTCCTTTTCTCCTTCATACAGACTCATATCCGCAGTGTATTCTGATGGCTCTCTCAGCTTCCAAGGCCTCCCCTCCTCCTTCTCTCACAGATATTTCCTCTAATAAATTTTCATGTTTACTCTTACCTTAGAGTCTTCTCCATAGACAATCTGACTAAAGCAAGGTAAATATAACATTATACATAACACAGGTTATGTAGGAGAGGTTATTGTACATACCTCCTTGTATAATAGAGGTTTTTCTAGGCCACACCAACTTGGGTCTGCCACTGCTAACAGAAATGAGCAAACCCTTTACTCTTGAAATTACTCTATCCTTATATTCTTTTCTAATTCACTCTACCTTTGGTCAAGGAAAGCCAAGGGACAGGGTATTTGTTCAGAAACAGAAGTTGTTTTCTAATGTAACTTCCCAGTGACAGCCATGAGTATGACTTGACACTGATGCTATAGCCTGGAATTAGAGTCCCTTATGTCTGATTCTGAATCCAGCCCCAAATATAGTGAGCACCAATATTTATTATTGAAAAGTGAGAAAGGCTAAAAGAACAAAGGTTTCACTGCAGCATGTCTAAAGAAATTATGGAGGAAGAACTGTATAGCAACCCCATTTCAAATAATTTATTAACTGGGCCATCAAGTAATCTGCCTCTGTTATAATCTTATGACTTTTTATCTTTTTATCTTATTGATATATGTGATCTATATATTTCTTGGTATCCAATAAATACATTAATTATGGATAGGAATTCTGAGCCACATTCTTGAAGTTGAGATATTTAGTAATATCAGGATTCCTATGTGCTTAACTTTGGATGCTGAAAGATTCCCCAGAAGTCAAAGTCTCAAGAGAAGACAACAAAGGTTACTATGAATTATGGGGAAGATACTACTTCTTTAGTAATTTTAAAAAATTTTCTTGTTAAGTGGATAAGGTAGGTGTGATTATGCCCTCCTTAGTGACCCAGGGTCTAGGCCTGATTCAGCAGACCCAGAGGCCAGCCCCACCCCAGTAAGCCCTGATGCCATGTCTAACCCTATGGATTGAGGTACCAAGATGACCCCTATAGACCCAGACTCCAGGCCAGCCACTGGAAAACCAAGACTCACACCTGCTTCCATGGACCAAGGATCTAGACCTACTGCAACAGCAGGTCAGCCCCTGTGGACTTAGGATTCAGGTCCATTACAGTGGATCCAAGCACTAGGCCCATCTTAGTACCTGTCCAGTCCCAGAAGACTCATGCTCAAGGCTCACCCCAGAGCCAGGCCAGCCTCTGTGAACCAGGTTCCAAGCCAGCCACCAGAGATACAGGCTCTGGGTCTGTTCACCTGCTGACCCAGGGCCTACTCAAAGATATTAGCAGTAAGCATTCCCTTGGATGGTGCCAGATGGCCTGCTGAACATCTCTGGACAGCCTGATTGGTGAAGGGTGTTCCAGAAAAAGCCAGTTTGTGAAGACTGGAATAAGTCTCTACTTCTTTCAAAGGCACAGACATAAGCGGAATGGAGCAAGAAAAACCAGGAGGACATAAAACCACCAAAAAAAATGAAACAATCTTCTAGTAGTTGAACTCAAAGACATGGATATATACTAAATGCTTGGTGAATAATTCAAAATAATTATTCTAAGAAAGATCAGTGAACTTCAAGCAAACATGGAGAAACAATTTAATAAAATCAGGAAAAAAATAAGTAACCAAAATGAGAAATGTAACAAAGAGGCTGAAATGTAAACATCAAAATGAAATTCTGAAGACGAAAAATGCAATGAAAAAAATAAAATGCAATAGATAGCATCAATAGCAGAATAAAGCACAAGAAAGGATCTGTAAACTTGAAGAGAGGTTATTTGAAAATATACAATCAAAGGAGAAAAAAAGAATGGAAAGGTAGTAAGAAAGTTTGCAGGATTTACAGCATTGAAAGAGCAAATGCTCAGCTCATAGATGTTCATAAAAGAGAAGAGAAAGACAAAAAGGTAGAAAGATTATTTAAAGAAATAATAGCAGAAAACTTTCTAAATTTGGCAAAAGATATATGGGTATGGGATTGCCAATGTCTCCATTCAGATGCAATCCAAACAAGACTAGCCTAATCCATGTTATAAGCAAACTGTCAAAAATAAAAGACAACAAGAGTATCCTAAAAGCAAGCATAAAACCGGAAACCCATAACATATGAAATTACCAATAAGGCCAAGAGTGGATTTCTAATCAGAGACTGGGATGATACATTTAAAGTGCTGAAGGAAAAACAAAATACATGCCAACCAAGAATACTGGAACTGGAGAAGCAGTCCTTCAGAAATGAGGGAGAGGTAAAGACTTTTCTAAACAAACAAAAGTTGAGGGAGTTCATCACCAGCAGACACATCTCATAAGAAATGCTAAAGGTTCTTCTTCAAACTGGAAGAAATGTGTGTTAGTTAGTAACACATATCAAAACACATATGTTAGTAACATATCAAAATTCCAATTACATTTTTCACACAAATAGAAAAAAACTCCTATAATTTGTATGGAGCCATAGAAGACTCCAAATAGCTAAAGCACTCTTACGCAAAAAGAGGAAGGCTGGAGGCATTATAATACCTGACTTCAAAGTATATTACAAATCTATAGTAATTAAAACATCATGGTACTGGCATAAAAACAGAGACAGGGATTAATAGAATAGAAAGCCCAGAAATAAATCTATGTATTTGCAGTCAGTTGATTTTTTTTATAATGGTGCGAAGAACACACAATGAGGAAAGGGCAATCTCTTCAATAAATGGTGTTGGAACAACTTGATATTCACACGCAAAAGAATGAAATCAGACCCTTGTCTTACACCAGGTATTAAAATCAACGCAAAAGGGACTAAAGACTTAAACCTATGATCTGAAACTGTAAAACTACTGGAATATAAGATAGGATGAAAACTCCATGACACTGTTCTGGGCATAGATATTTTGGATATGAAACAAAAACCATGGGCAAGCAAAACAAAAATAAACAAGTGGGATTATAACAAACCAAAAAGCATTTGCACACTCGAGAAAAAGACAGAGTAAAGTGGCAATCTACAGAATGGGAAAAATATTTGCAAGCCATACATCTGATAAAGAGTTAAATATCCAAAATATATAAGAACTTCAAATAACTCATCTCAGTTTCTGTTAGTAAGAAAAAACCTGATTTAAAAAATGGGCAAAGGATCTAAATAGATATTTCTCAAAAGAAGACATTCAAATAGCCAACAGGTATATGAAAAAATGCTCAACATTACTAATCATTAGGAAAATGCAAATTAAAACCACAATGAGATATCATCTCATAACTGCAAGGATGGCTATTATAAAAAATAGAAGAAATTACAGGTTTTGGAGAGGATGTGGAAAATACACAGCACTTGCACACTGCTGCTGGTAATGTAAACTAGTATAGCCAGTATGGAAAATAATATAGTGGTTCCTCAAAAAACTACAAATGGAACTAGCTTATGTTCCACCAATCCTACTACTGGGTGTAAATCTGTATGTCAAAGGGATATCTGCATTCCCATGTTAATTGCAGGAGTAATTCATAATAGCCAACATATGGAATCAACCTAAGTGTCAATCAGTAGAATAGGAGGAGGAGCCACGATGGCCGAATAGGAACAGCTCCAGTCTACAGCTCCCAGCATGAGCAACGCAGAAGATGGGTGATTTCTGCATTTCCATCTGAGGTACCAGGTTCATCTCACTAGGGAGTGCCAGACAGTGGGTGCAGGACAGTGGGTGCAGCGCACAGTGCACCAGCTGAAGCAGGGCGAGGCATTGCCTCACTCGGGAAGCGCAAGGGGTCAGGGAGTTCCCTTTCCTGGTCAAGGAAAGGGGTGACAGACGGCACCTGGAAAATCGGGTCACTCCAACCCGAACACTGCGCTTTTCCGACGGGCTTACCAAACAGTGCACCAGGAGATTATATCCCGCACCTGGCTCAGAGGGTCCTACGCCCACAGAGTCTTGCTGATTGCTAGCACAGCAGTCTGAGATCAAACTGCAAGGTGGCAGCGAGGCTGGGGGAGGGGTGCCTACCATTGCCCAGGCTCGGTTAGGTAAACAAAGCAGCCAGGAAGCTCGAACTGGGTGGAGCCCACCACAGCTCAAGGAGGTCTGCCTGCCTCTGTAGGCTCCACCTCTGGGGGGCAGGGCACAGACAAAAAAAGGACAGCAGTAACCTCTGCAGACTTAATTGTCCCTGTCTGACAGCTTTGAAGAGAGCAGTGTTTTTCCCAGCACGCAGTTGGGGATCTGAGAATGGGCAGACTGCCTCCTCAAGTGGGTCCCTGACCCCTGACACCCGAGCAGCCTAACTGGGAGGCACCCCTCAGTAGGGGCAGACTGACACCTCACACGGCTGGGTACTCCTCTGAGACAAAACTTCCAGAGGAATGATCAGACAGCAGCATTCGCGGTTCATGAAAATCCACAGTTCTGCAGACACCACTGCTGATACCCAGGCAAACAGGGTCTGGAGTGGACCTCCGACAAACTCCAACAGACCTGCAGCTGAGGGTCCTGACTGTTAGAAGGAAAACTAACAAACAGAAAGGAAATCTACACCAAAAACCCATCTGTACATCACCATCATCAAAAACCAAAAGTAGATAAAACCACAAACATGGGGAAAAAGCAGAGCAGAAAAACTGGAAACTCTAAAATCAGAGCGCCTCTCCTCCTCCAAAGGAACGCAGCTCCTCAACAGCAACAGAACAAAGCTGGACAGAGAATGACTTTGACGAGTTGAGAGAAGAAGGCTTCAGACGATCAAACTACTCTGAGCTACAGGAGGAAATTCAAACCAAAGGCAAAGAAGTTGAAAACTTTGAAAAAAATTTAAACGAATGTATAACTAGAATAACCAATACAGAGAAGTGCTTAAAGGAGCTGATGGAGCTGAAAACCAAGGCTCAAGAACTACGTGAAGAATGCAGAAGCCTCAGGAGCTGATGCGATCAACTGGAAGAAAGGGTATCAGTGATGGAAGATGAAATGAATGAAATGAAGCAAGAAGGGAAGTTTAGAGAAAAAAGAATAAAAAGAAATGAACAAAGCCTCCAAGAAATATGGGACTATGTGAAAAGACCAAATCTACGTCTGATTGGTGTACCTGAAAGTGACGGGGAGAATGGAACCAAGTTGGAAAACACTCTGCAGGATATTATCCAGGAGAACTTCCCCAATCTAGCAAGGCAGGCCAACGTTCAGATTCAGGAAATACAGAGAATGCCAGAAAGATACTCCTCGAGAAGAGCAACTCCAAGACACATAATTGTCAGATTCACCAAAGTTAAAATGAAGGAAAAAATGTTAAGGGCAGCCAGAGAGAAAGGTTGGGATACCCACAAAGGGAAGCCCATCAGACTAACAGCAGATCTCTCAGCAGAAACTCTACAAGCCAGAAGAGAGTGGGGGCCAATATTCAACATTCTTAAAGAAAAGAATTTTCAACCAAGAATTTCACATCCAGCCAAACTAAGCTTCATAAGTGAAGGAGAAATAAAATCCTTTACAGACAAGCAAATGCTGAGAGATTTTGTCACCACCAGGCCTGCCCTAAAAGAGCTCCTGAAGGAAGCACTAAACATGGAAAGGAGCAACCGGTACCAGCCGCTGCAAAATCATGCCAAAATGTAAAGACCATCGAGACTAGGAAGAAACTGCATCAACTAACGAGAAAAATCACCAGCTAACATCATAATGACAGGATCAATTTCACACATAACAGTATTAACTTTAAATGTAAATGGAGTAAATGCTCCAATTAGAAGACACAGACTGGCAAATTGGATAAAGAGTCAAGACCCATCAATGTGCTGTATTCAGGAAACCCATCTCACATGCAGAGACACACATAGGCTCAAAATAAAAGGATGGAGGAAGATCTACCAAGCAAATGGAAAACAAAAAAAGGCAGGGGTTGCAATCCTAGTCTCTGATAAAACAGACTTTAAACCAACAAAGATCAAAAGAGACAAAGAAGGCCATTACATAATGGTAAAGGGATCAATTCAACAAGAAGAGCTAACTATCCTAAATATATATGCACCCAATACAGAAGCACTGAGATTCATAAAGCAAGTCCTGTGTGACCTACAAAGAGACTTAGACTCCCACACAATAATAATGGGAGACTTTAACACCCCACTGTCAACATTAGACAGATCAACGAGACAGAAAGTTAACAAGGATACCCAGGAATTGAACTCAGCTCTGCACCAAGCAGACCTAATAGACATCTACAGAACTCTCCACCCCAAATCAACAGAATATACATTTTTTTTCAGCACCACACCATACCTATTCCAAAATTGACCACATCGTTGGAAGTAAAGCTCTCCTCAGCAAATGTAAAGGAACAGAAATTATAACAAACTGTCTCTCAGACCACAGTGCAATCAGACTAGAACTCAGGATTAAGAAACTCACTCAAAACCGCTCAACTACATGGAAACAGAACAACCTGCTCCTGAATGACTACTGGGTATCTAATGAAATGAAGACAGAATTAAAGATGTTCTTTGAAACCAACGAGAACAAAGACACAACATACCAGAATCTCTGGGACACATTCAAAGCAGTACGTATAGGGAAATTTATAGCACAAAGTGCCCACAAGAGAAAGCAGGAAAGATCCAAAATTGACACCCTAACATCACAATTAAAAGAACTAGAAAAGCAAGAGCAAACACATTCAAAAGCTAGCAGAAGGCAAGAAATAACTAAAATCAGAGCAGAACTGAAGGAAATAGAGACACAAAAAAGCCTTCAAATATTAATGAATCCAGGAGCTGGTTTTTTGAAAGGATCAACAAAATTGATAGACCGCTAGCAAGACTAATAAAGAAAAAAAGAGAGAAGAATCAAATAGACGCAATAAAAAATGATAAAAGGGATATCACCACCGATCCCACAGAAACACAAACTACCATCAGAGAATACTACAAACACCTCTATGCAAATAAACTAGAAAATCTAGAAGAAATGGATAAATTCCTCGACACATACACCCTCCCAAGAACTAAACCAGGAAGAAGTTGAATCTCTGAATAGACCAATAACAGGCTCTGAAATTGTGGCAATAATCAATAGCTTACCAACCAAAAAGAGTCCAGCACCAGGTGGATACAGCTGAATTCTACCAGAGGTACAAGGAGGAACTGGTACCATTCCTTCTGAAACTATTCCAATCAATAGAAAAAGAGGGAATCCTCCCTAACTCCTTTTATGAGGCCAGCATCATCCTGATACCAAAGCCGGGCAGAGACACAACCAAAAAAGAGAATTTTAGGCCAATATCCTTGATGAACGTTGATGCAAAAATCCTCAATAAAATACTAGCAAACCGAATCCAGCAGCACATCAAAAAGCTTATCCACCATGATCAAATGGGCTTCATCCCTGGAATGCAAGGCTGGTTCAATATACGCAAATCAATAAATGTAATCCAGCATATAAACAGAACCAAAGACAAAAACCACATGATTATCTCAATAGATGCAGAAAAGACCTTTGACAAAATTCCACAACCCTTCATACTAAAAACTCTCAATAAATTACATATTGATGGGACATATCTCAAAATAATAAGAGCTATCTATGACAAACCCACAGCCAATATCATACTGAATGGGCAAAAACTGGAAGCATTCCCTTTGTAAACTGGCACAAGACAGGGATGCCCTCTCTCACCACTCCTATTCAACATAGTGTTGGAAGTTCTGGCCAGGGCAATTAGGCAGGAGAAGGAAATAAAGGGTATTCAATTAGGAAAAGAGGAAGTCAAATTGTCCCTGTTTGCAGACGACATGATTGTATATCTAGAAAACCCCATTGTCTCAGCCCAAAGTCTCCTTAAGCTGATAAGCAACTTCAGCAAAGTCTCAGGATACAAAATCAATGTACACAAATCACAAGTATTCTTATACACAAATAACAGACAAACAGAGAGCCAAATCATGAGTGAACTCCCATTCACAATTACTTCAAAGAGAATAAAATACCTAGGAATCCAACTTGCAAGGGATGTGAAGGACCTCTTCAAGGAAAACTACAAACCACTGCTCAACGAAATAAAAGAGGATACAAACAAATGGAAGAACATTCCATGCTCATGGGTAGGAAGAATCAATATCCTGAAAATGGCCATACTGCCCAAGGTAATTTAGAGATTCAATGCCATCCCCATCAAGCTACCAATGACTTTCTTCACAGAATTGGAAAAAACTACTTTAAAGTTCATATGGAACCAAAAAAGAGCCTGCATCACCAAGTCAATGCTAAGCCAAAAGAACAAAGTTGGAGGCATCACGTTACCTGACTTCAAACTATACTACAAGGCTACAGTAACCAAAAGAGCATGGTACTGGTACCAAAACAGAGATATAGATCAATGGAACAGAACAGAGCCCTCAGAAATAATCCCACATATCTACAACTATCTGATCTTTGACAAACCTGAGAAAAACAAGCAATGGGGAAAGGATTCCCTATTTAATGAATGGTGCTGGGAAAACTGGCTAGTCATATGTAGAAAGCTGAAACCGGATCCCTTCATTACACCTTATACAAAAATTAATTCTAGATGGATTAAAGACTTAAACGTTAGACCTAAAACTATAAAAACCCTAGAAGAAAACCTAGGCATTACCATTCAGGACATAGGCATGGGCAAGGACTTCATGTCTAAAACACCAAAAGCAATGGCAACAAAAGCCAACATTGACAAATGGGATCTAATTAAACTAAAGAGCTTCTGCACAGCAAAAGAAACTACCATCAGAGTGAACAGGCAACCTATAAAATGGGAGAAAATTTTCGCAACCTACTCATCTGACAAAGGGCTAATATCCAGAATCTACAATGAACTCAAATTTACAAGAAAAAAACAAACAACCCCATCACAAAGTGGGCAAAGGACGTGAACAGACACTTCTCAAAAGAAGACATTTGTACGGCCAAAAGACACATGAAAAAATGCTCATCATCACTGGCCATCAGAGAAATGCAAATCAAAACCACAATGAGATACCATCTCACACCAGTTAGAATGGCAATCATTAAAAAGTCAGGAAACAACAGGGGCTGGAGAGGGTGTGGAGAAATAGGAACACTTTTACACTGTTGGTGGGACTGTAAACTAGTTCAACCATTGTGGAAGTCAGTGTGGCGATTCCTCAGGGATCTAGAACTAGAAATACCATTTGACCCAGCCATCCCATTACTGGGTATATACCCAAAGGACTATGAATCATGCTGCTATAAAGACACATGCACACGTATGTTTATTGCGGCACTATTCACAATAGCAAAGACTTGGAACCAAGCCAAATGTCCAACAATGATAGACTGGATTAAGAAAATGTGGCACATATATATCATGGAATACTATGCAGCCATAAAAAATGATGAGTTCATGTCCTTTGTAGGGACATGGATGAAATCGGAAATCATCATTCTCAGTAAACTATTGCAAGGACAAAAAACCAAACACTGCATGTTCTCACTCATAGGTAGGAATTGAACAATGAGAACACATGGACACAGGAAGGGGAACATCACACTCTGGGGACTGTTGTGGGGTGGGGGGAGGTGGGAGGGATAGCATTAGGAGATATACCTAATGCTAAATGACGAGTTGATGGGTGCAACACACCAGCATGGCACATGTATACATATGTAACTAACCTGCACATTGGGCACATGTACCCTAAAACTTAAAGTATAATAAAAAAAAAATACAACAACAACAACCACAACAACAAAATCAGTAGAATAAATTTTTTAAATGTAGTATGAATACTCAATGGAATACTATTCAACCTTTAAAAAGAATGAAATTCGTTATTTGCAACAAAATGGATGAACCCAGATGATATTATGTAAATGAAATAAGCCAGTCACAGAAAGGCAAATACCACATGATCTGACTTTTAGGTGAAATCTAAAAAAGTTGGACTCATTAATTGAAAGGAGAATGGTAGTTACTAAGCGCTGGAGAAACTGAAGGAATGGGGAGATATTAGTGAAATAATAAATTTTAGTTAGGAGGAATAAGTTCAAAAGATTTATTGTACACATAGATGTATTATATTCTTGAAAACTGCTAAGAAAGTAGATTTTCAGTATTCCCATCACACAAAAAATGAAAAGTATGTGAAGTAATGCACGTTAATGAGCTCGTTTTAGCCATTATGTAATGTGTGTATATTTCAAAATAACATGTTGTGTATGAAGATACACAATTTTTGTCAATTGAAAAAAAAATTAAAAAAGAAAATGTTATTAGAAAAAATACACCCGTGATACTAACTTTAAATGTTTCCATGCCAGCCATTTGTGGAACTTTATATAAAAATTCTGATGTTTTTGGCAACCAGACTGATATTTACGTTCATCCATACATTTATTAATCAATTCATGCTTAAATCAATCAAAATATTTATTGATAAATTTGTCATATTTATAAAGCATTGTGATATGCCAAAGGTTCTTATTGGTGAACAAAAGTATTCTAGTCATTCTAGAGACCAGGACTCCTGAAGAGGGCTCCTAAAATTGTAACAAAATTAACACAATGTGAAATTGCAGTGATTAATGAAATTATCAATTTCCTAGCCATTTTAGCAATCAACAAATACAGAATCCATAAGCGATTAAGTGGTATTTTTAATATACAGTCATGCAATGTTTAACCATGGAGGTATGTTCTGAGAAATGTGTTATTAGGTGATTTTGTCATTGTGTGATCATCATAGAGTGTACTTACGCAAACCTAGATCATGCAGCCAACTACAAACCTGGGCTGCAAACCTGTATAGCATGTTACTATACTGAATACGGTAGGCAGTTGTAACACAATGTTAAGTATTTGTGTATTTAAACATAGAAAAAAGTACAGTAAAAATATCTTGTGTGAAAGATAAAAAATGATACACCTGTATAGGATGCTTACCATGAATGAAGCTTGCAGGAATGGAAGTTACACTGAGTGAGCCAAAGAGTGAATGGTGAGTGAATGTGAATGGATGCCTGGCATTACTGGACACTATTCTAGACTTTATACACTACACTTAGCCTACCGTAGCCTACACTTACGCTACAGTAAATTTAAAAAATTTTCTTTTTAATAATAAATTAAACTTAAATTGCTATAACGTTTTCACTTTGTAACTTAAATTTGTAACTCTTTTGTCACTTAAAACACAAACACATTGCACAGCTGTATCAAAACATTTTTATAGCACTAGTTTATAAGCTTTTTTTTTCTATTTTTTCCCTTTTTGTTAAAATTAAGACACAAATATATTCTTTAGCCTAAACCTACACAGGATGAGAATCAACAGTATCTCTATTTTCCACCTCTGCATCTTCTCCCATTGGAAGGTCCTCAGGAGCCAATAACACACATAGAGCTGTTATCTCCTGTGATAACAATGCCTAACAACGCCTTCTTCTGGATACCTCCTGGAGGACCAGCCTGAGGCTGTTTTACAGTTAAATGTACATATATGGAGTATACTGTAAGTATAACAATAAAAAGTTAGAACAGTAGGATGTTTACAGTAGTTTCACCACAAACACCTTATTAATGTATTGCACTGTGGCCTTGCAATGGCTACAATCTCACTAGGAGATAGAACATTTTTCAGCCCATTATAATCTTAGGGGACCAAAGCTGTATATGCAGACTATTGTATATGCAGTCTGTCATTGACCAAAATGTCATGTGATACATGGCTGTATTTAAAAAGTAAAGATTGTTTGTTAATAGTATTATTCAGTTATGACAAAGATCTAGGTTTTTTGATATACCTATGATGAGTTTTTCCTCGAGACGAAAGAAAAGCAATGCATCAAAAGTTAAAATGGCCAAACATATTTTACTTGGACTTCCTACTCCTATGTCTGGGAATTAATAGTAAGAAAATAATATTAAATGTAGCATAAAACTTCATATTTTACAGTGCAGCATTTATTATTTTACAAGCCCCATTAGATACATTTTAAATGAGTATTGATGCAATAATTGTTATGGAATATATTAAGGAACTTAGGCAAATGTGTTATTGAAAATTATGCTTATGGAGAATTTGTAATATCATGTAAAATGTTTAGTTTAGGTAAAAAATGCAAAATTTGTAATGGGATGAGCTTTAGTGTTTATAGAAAGATGCTTAAAACAAGAAAAAGTGATTCAGAGCCCTATGGTAATGATATTATTTTAGGGTGATGATTGTTTGCCTTTATGATTGTTTTGCCTTTAACATATTGTGTATTTTCCAATGTTACATATGGACATGATTTTTATATCTAAACAAGATAATTTAAATAGAGAAAAAAAGATCTCCAGAAGACCATGGAAGGAAAATTATAGAATGTCACCTTTGTTAAGAGCTACAGATTAAACTGACCTGAAAATTATGCCAGAAATTGTACACAGATGATTAAATTTATGTATCCATGTACTTATGTCTCAAAAATATGTACCTTTTTTATTTGGGTAAATCACAAAGGAACATTTTGTTAAATTAGTTTCCTAATTTAAGCAATATATGATAAATTTCTTAAAATAATAAAATCTTTTAAACATCGAATTGGTTTACAACATGTAACACTTCAGGTTCATGGATCACTAGTGATGCACATGAAGGATTTATGTCTTTTCCAATCTGTGATGCTATCCATCACTTTCATAGCCCTAGGACCTCCAGCAATCTGGGCTGACTGCGTTTTGATTCTGTCATTTTTTTTCCAGTTAACTTTATTAGTGTTGATCATGCCCGACTTTACTAAGATTATTTTGGCTCCTTTAACCTTGGCTTTATTGACCTGGAATAGTCAGCAGCCATCTGACACTGTGGCTAACTATATTTTTAGACAATATCCAAAGTCATTAAGAACAAAAATTATTAAAGCAATAAAGTCATAATTTAGAGGAATCTACCCCAAGAAGAAAAATAGCACAGTATAAGTAATGTTAGTCAAAGAATTCAATTTTAGTTCAACACAAGGTAATTTGGAGAAAGTTCTTTTAGTATGTGATTATATTGGTCATTAACTTAAGTAGAACATAAGAAAGTAGAGATATGGGGGCTGGATATATTTGTGAGAGTTGGTAAAATTGATGAAGCAAGATCATGGGACAGATGAGAGGATATGGTGACATCCAGTGCACTTGTGGAGCGACTGTCTTTGGACTAGAGGAGAGAAAGAACTTCTGAGACATAAGCAAAGGAATTAACAATATATTTAGGTGCAGGCACATTTCTAAATGTGGTTGATCAGCTGACTGAGGTCATAATTAGTTGCCTTTATTTTCCTTATGAAGAAAGAGGCCATTTAAGTAAAGAGTAAACAAAGTAGCTCAAAAGCTTGAAGATACTAATGACATTCTTTTTATCTTTTATCTTGGTTCAGGGGGTACATGGGCTGGTTTGCTATATAGATGAATTACCTGTTGTAAGGGTTTGGGGTGTACAAATTATTTCATCACTGAGGTAAGAAGCGTAATACCTGATAGGTAGTTTTTCAATTCTCACCCTCCTTTCACCCCCCACCCTCAAGAAGTCCCCTGCATCTGTTATTTCTTTCTTTGTGTCCATATGTACCCAATTCTTATGGGGAAAAATGGGTTAAGTAATGGATCTGACTAGGGAGAAAATAAATGATTTCTGCATATATCATTGATGTTGTGAAAGGAATAAAAATATTTCTCTTTGATATAGTTTGGGACCTGTTACATTGATGAGGAATGATCCTATTAACTTAAGCAAATATTTGAGTGCCCACTACATGACAGATACTTTGCTAAACATTGAGAGAAAGAAAAAAGCAACAAATACGATTTGGTTTCACATCTTAAGGGTCTGCCTAAACAGAACAAAGGTTAGGCGCACAGATAATTAAAATGAAAAGCAGAAGTGTTGGGCACACACTGCAGCTATTAAAAATAAGAGTTTCATCATTAAAGCATCTGGAATTGAATTAGAACCTCACTACTTCATAGCTGAGCATACTTAAGCAGTCCCCTTAACTCATATGCCCTTTGGTTTTTTATCTCTAGAACCCGACTAATAGATTGCATAGTTAGGGCATATATATGAATCAGTTTATAAATTCTAAAACTCTATGAAAATGTAGTTTCTTATTATGTGTTATATAAATAAAGTTTTAAAAGTCTTTGAATGTGAGGAGGGTAGGGAGAGAGGAGAGTGTGTGTGAGGGGGCGAGAGAGAAAGATGCTCTGGCTAGAATATTTAGGGGTGCTTCACAGAGCGAGTAAAATTTGCTCCAGGCTTTGAAGAATGGTGTAGCTGTTGGTAGGCAGAATTAAGGTAACAAAGTTATAAGTAGAGGAAAGTATGTAAGCAAAAATTTAGGGAAGAAAAAGCAAAAGTCTTACTGAGTAACAGAAAGCAGACCAGATTGCCTAGAAAGTGTTACCAAAACACCAGGGGTTCAGTCTAGGTCCTGCTGCTGGCTGCACAGATAGTCAATCACTGAGAGAAGTATTGCCAAGGAGACAAGTATTGCCAAGGAAGAAGGCTTTAATCGGGTGCTGCAGCCAAGGAGATGGGAACTCAGTCTCAAATCCATCTCACTGACTGAATAAAAGCAGAGGTTTATACATCAGGGAAGAAGTGTAACAATGTGTAAGAAAACAAGAATTAGGGAGGGGAAAGAAAGCAATCATAATGAGGAGTCCAAAGTCTCATTGTCTGGATGTGGTGTTCTGGTGAGTTTCTGTTCTTTGGTACATTTTTTTTTTTTTTGAGAGTTTGAAGGTCCTTTCCTGAGGAAGGAATTCAGATAAAACAAATACAAGTTTCAAGCTTTAAGACTAGAAAGACCAATTTCTATCTTTATCCTAAAGAACAGTTTATGGGGCTATTGGCTGAGTTTCAAAAGCAAGGGAGTAAAAAGGCATAAAATGGGATTGTGGCAATATTTTAAATGTTTTATGTTTTAAATTCTACAATAAGCAGTTATGTTAATTATGGCTAGAATATAATCTAAAACTTAGTATATGTTCTACAAAGGCCTGTATTTTCTAACCCTCTCTGTATATGCAGTCTTATTTCATTTCACTTTCCCTTTATAGATGACCTGCTGACATTGTTTTCCTTTTGGTTTCCAAGATCTTTTCCAACCACTTTCATTTGTAGATTCTCAGCTCATTTCTTCCTATTCAGATCTCAGTTTAAAGGTCTTCTTTTTTGCATAGAACAGATTTGAAAATAGCCTATGTAAAGTAGAATAGCTTCTATTATTCTGCATTTTAACATTTTTTTCCTTCATGATACTAGTTATAATTTTTAATTTTTCTGTTTGCTTCTTTTTCCATCCCCTAAACTCCCCTCTATATCTCACTCAGACTATATAATACACGAATGGAGAAACTGTGCTTATTTTGCTCACTGTTCATTGTTTAACATATTATCTAGTACACTGATATGTTCAATAATTATTTTTGACTAAGTACCTTAATGAATATTTTTAAAGGAGACATTGTAAAATTTTAAGCATAAAAATATTTGGGGGGAAAAGACTATGCTTAAAAAGTGATCTAGCACTAGACTATATAAAGGACTAAAATATGAGGTTGAACATAAATCATTTAGTTGTTATTGCAGTAGTCACACATTTGTTAATGAAGATCTGTTTTACTGAACATTGCAGAAGGAAGGGAAGAAGGGTGGGCTTCTTCAGAGGCTGAGAAGAAAGAAGAATTAGGACTGATAATTGAGTAGAAACGAGGTAGAAGAAGATTGAATTTGAAGATGAATATATCAGGGGGAGATGATTTTTTCTGTGTTATTTCATCTAGTATGAAGTATTCGACCTCTGTTTAACCTTCACCTAGCTGGAAGAAGGTGATACTAAGCCATTTCAAGAGTCCGTGAGAGTTAACTTGATTTAATCCAGTGTATTATGAGGAGCTCTATAGAGCTGGAACACTGAAGTACGTTGTTAAGGAAATACTTAAGAGAAATTTATTACAAAGTTTCCCATTTTTATCATTTGAGGGTAAGGTCATTCTGAATTTTCTGTTGTAAGTTTCATATGTCAGTACTTTATAGCTGAACCATTTCAAATGACAGGCAAATCATTCTTTACTACTTGTCAACACAAAGTATTTCATGTTTTAACTTTTAACAAAATGCTAAAAGAGACTTTTCAGTTAAAAACACTGAAGTTTATTTCTAAAAGTTTTGGGGATATTTCCAAAACATTACCGTAGGGTTTGATAAAAAGATAAACACGTGGAAGTCATAATTTCAATGAAGGACATTATTAGAGTTAAGATTATTTAAATAAGCTGAAACTATTTCCTCCAGCATTCAAATATGAATACACAGAAGGTGAAGTGGGATAGTAACCTTGACCCTTTCACGGGACTCACACAGGGTTTGGCTCTGGCTCCTTTACTCAGCTCATAGCTCTCAACTCCTCATGGGAGGGGGAGCATGCAGGTGAATGGGTTCAGGGGCCAGGACAAGCCCTTCTGGGCAACCAGCAGAAGCAGAACTCTATGCGGCTTGCAGCAGCATCTAGAGGTTGCCTATGACCCTCAGAGCCCCAGAGGACATGTGTTATAGTGTGCTCCTTTAGCTTTGCCTTTCACAGACAGCTTAAATGTTAAACAGCTCAGTGGAGGAACAGTGTGACAGCCTTTTGGACCCACCCTCTTGGTACCCTAGTTCTTGTTTGGCATCCAGGAAAAATCAGGTCATGTGAACAAATTGAAGGGTGGTGAATGTGGAGAATTTTATCAAGTGATGGAAGTGGCCCTTAGTGGAATGGGGAGCTGAAAAGGGGATGAAGGGGGAAGGTGGTTTTCCCCTGGAGTTCAGCAGTCCCCGGCTGAACTCTTCTCCAAGGTCCCACTGTCAAGCCATCCCTCTGAAGTCATGCTGCTACTTCAGATGTCTGACTGCTTCTTTTCTCTCCTTCTCTGCCACTCTGCTGCTCTGCCACTCCACTGGTGGAGCATAGGGTTTTTATGGGTACAGGAATAGCCAGGGCAAGATGGGCCAGGGTGGTTTTGGAAAAGGCAACATTCAGGCAGAAAGATAGGAATGCATGTTCTCACTTTGGGCTGTGGGTTCAGGCTTGAGGGTGGGGCTTTGCAGGGACCCCATCCTTTTCTGCCTAGGGTTTACCTGCCTCCTGTTTGTATCAAAGAGACAACGATTACAGTCTCAAAAAATTAATCAACATCAATATTGAAATTTAATAGCTCCTAGAATACATAATTCCTCTCTACCTAGCAAGAAATTAACCAGCTGATGGTAGCTGACCAGTAGTTATAATGTTTTGATAGTACTAGTAATTTCTTAATTTGTGGTTCTTGAGACTTCATGGGAAGCAATTCTGATATTTATTACGTAGTGTTTTATTATGTAACATTTGTTATTATTATGTCTTGAAATATGCATTTAAAATATAGTATCTATTTGCTGTCATATAAACAAGATTAGGTTGATTAGGATGTTTGTATTAGTAATTTTTCACCTTTCAAAAATTTTCATATGCCTCAATCTTCTGTTCATAGAAACTTTGTGCAGTATATGATACCAATTGATCATTTCAAAGATGAAGCAATGGAGTTGCCTATAATTATAAAGCTTAAACCAAAGCAAGGATTAAAATATAGCTTTTAATCAATGCAACCTTGTACAAGTCATTTAATATTTTTAGCCTAATTTTTTAATTGGCAAATGTACATAATATTATCTGTCCCCACTCTCTGTGAAAATACTACAATTGTAAAGTGCTGAGCAAGTATTATACTTTAGTCTCAGGCATTCTTGATATAACCCTTTACCTTGGTTCTTATGAGAATAGTAAATATGAGGAAGTAAGTTGTCACTGTGCTGGTCTTTGAAATTATTGTAGTCCTCACTTAAATTCAGGTGAAAGAAATAAAGGGTGGGGGAGAAGAAAGCTATGTATTTCTTCACTAATATTAATATTATTTGAATTTTATAGATTGGAGTATAAAGTCAAGTAATTTTAAATAATTTTCACACTGAATGGGAGTTTGTAGACTTCTTATTAAAATCCAGGTCTGTTAAACTCTATCATACTGAAACCATAATACAGCAGAGGTAAGTGTGTGCTCTGGAGTCCTAGGCTGTGTGACTTTGTATCTTGCCTCCACTATAGGACCATGGGCAAATTACCTAACCCACTATCACCTCAATTTCTCATCTATAAAAAGGTTATACTAACAGTACCACTGCATAAGTTTATACTCAAGATTAAACACAGAGTGTTTAAAACAGAACCTAGCAAACAGCAAGAAAATTATAAATACTGGTAGCAGTGACTTCTTCCTTCTCCCCTTCTTCTTCTTTTCCTACTTAATTTAGCATCCGTCAACTTCCTTTTGTGATTTTGAGATTAAAATATATATACTTGTTACTTTCCCAGATATTTTAAAATAATAGACATGTATAAGTGTAATGCATTTTACTATGTCTTTTTAATTTTCAAATAAATTTTAAAGGAGTACTGGCTGGATTTTAGAAATTAAAATATACCAGTAATATTCAGTTTGTAATAACAGTAGCTTATTTTTAACATTTTTATTTTTCTAAAGTAATTTCTGATGTCATGGAAATTTAACATGAGGATATTTCTGTTATTCATTTGTGCTATTTTCTTTGAAGTATCATCATCTTAAAACGAATGAATGATAACTTGACAATAGATATTAGTAAGAAGTGATGGCAAGACAAACCCATCCATCGGTTAACAGACCCAGAAAAGGATTATAACTCAATTACTATAAACTGATTGAAATAATGATTTCTTGATTGATTAATTCTTGATAAAATCCAACTTCACAGTAGAAAATCAACACAACTCATTTCAAGATTTTTTTTTTGAGATATAAGTACAAGTATTGGTACTTTCTGCAGTGTCTTATAATTTAAGATAATCCAAAAAGTAGTAAACATTTTATTTTCTAGTTTATCAAAACTACAGCACTTTTATGGCTTGTGGTAGATAAATGCTTCAAGTTTGCAACTACTATTATATTATTTCATAATAGATTAACATTTTACTAGATACTTACTTTTCTTAGAATATATTGATATGTCTTCTTAAATACTTTTTTCCATCTGAAAGTTATTTATGTTTATTCCTGAGGTCTGTGGATCAGAGCCCTGTGTTTTGTATTGATTAAAACTTATTAAGTGTACTGTATTGAGTACAAATACTTGTTAAGTGTTCTATACTGAGTAAGACTTAGTGTATATATGAAAAGACTCTTATGACCAAATCTAATTGCAGTAAATTCTATATGTGTGGAATAGTTTTGTAATACTGTTTACAGTCATTACCTTCTTTAAGAAAAGTATTAACATAAAATTGTAATTTAAAAAAAATTTTAAAAGAAATGTACACAACAATTATGTTGATTCTTGATAGCATCCCAGGAAGTTTGGATTCAGTAAGTTTGAAATGAGGCCAGAAATTTGTACCTATAACAAGTATTCCATGTGTTTCATATTACTGAGCTTTACGTGGGAAACAATTACTTTAGTTTAAGAACATCTTTTTAATTAGTCATTCATCATTGTTGTCTAATAATGGTATACCTACTTGCTTTCTCATTATTAAAAAAATACAAGGATTCTCATCGTAGGGATATTACATTATTTTGCAATTATTTTCCTAGAATAAAATATATGTAATTTTAATTATTGGGTTTAAGGTTTATAGCCATTTTAAGAAGCCTAATATCTATTGCAAATTTATTTTTCATGAACTTCTAGTTTAAACTGCTTTTAAATTACATTTAATTATTCAGTTTCCCTGAAGCCTTATACATATATTAAATATCACATCACTTTTTTAAAAACCAAAGTGAGATTATGCCCCTATGATATTATTTCTTTGATTGCTTGCAGTGGTTGGAAATGCATTATTATGCATCTTTCTGCCATTTTATTATTTTCGTTTGTGGTATTTACATTTTTATGTACCTAATGGGTACATTTTGGTTTTCATATAATTTTAAAAATATTTCTAAAATAATTAGAATAGGACACTTTCTGCTTCAGATAATAGATACAGATGAAACTGGCTTAACTAATAAAAATATCATGTATTTCTCTTGAGTGCAGAAACCCCAGAGCTCCAGAAATGAGGTAGGTACTAGATGTGCAAGGTCAGACCTCTGGCTCTGCTTCTCTGTGATAATCCTGACTCCTCCCTTCCTAACATGTTGGCTCAAGCTAGTGGTGGTTCTGGGTGTTACATCCAGAGGCAGTAACTTTCAGAAGAGAAGAGCTGATTCATTTAGTATGTATCTTTTCCGAGAGAACACACCTTTTTCAGAAAATCACCAATATACTCTTCTACGTCATTTGCCAGAATTAGGTCACATTGATTTTCTTAAATCATGCACTTGTGAAACAAATAGGATCATCATGAATGGATGAATTCAGATAGCATCTTCCGCTGGTATGGAGTTATATAATTCATAGTATTTAGAAAGTAAGAAATAACAAAGTAGGCTATAAATAATGTCTAATAACTATTCATTTACAATAAGGTAAATTACCTAGTCTTTATTTTTTTTGGCTAGTACAAAGATTGTATTTTATATTTTTGTTGTTGCTATGAAAGTGTGTCACTCAGATTTCCAAGTGCATAGCTGATTATCAGCCCCAGTGCAGTGCTACCCATTACATCCACCGTTGCTTTTCCTGTCTGCTCTGCACCCACTACCGAGCCAGCAGGCTGGAGGCACTAGTTCTGTACCATTTCTTCCTGAGGCTGAAATTTTCCATGAGGTAAACCTTGCTCAGGACATCCATGGCCTGCCTGAAACTTTCAGAGCCTCACTAGAATATGAGACTCTTCCTACCCATTTTGTTCTTCCTTCTTTCCTTTTGCAGGTATCTGACCTGCATTGGGATTTGAAGATTCTTCCTGCCTAGGCTTATCCACTTCCTGTTTACCCTACATGGGACCTTTCCCAATACATTTCTTACACTTCTAGCTCTGCTTCTTGGAGGACCCAAGTTGAGATCGTATTTAATCATTTGATCCGTCTTACCATATGATATATTGTGTGAAGCATTTCCATCTATACTGATATTTATGTATTTGTTTGTTTATTTAATTGTGTTTTCTATGAGCCAAGCTCTGCGCTAGGCAACGTGGACATAAGAATTCATTGAAAAGTTTACTTTTCTAAAGTACTGCTAGGTTTAAAAGTGATTGAGGCAGACAAATACATAAAAATGGAAAGCACTCTAAAAGAGGCATAAACAGAATTTGAAAACTCAGTGGAGGAAGACAGAAAATCCTCCTGATTTTGGAAGACAACATAGACTCCCAAAAAGATCCTGATAAAGGTGAATTCCTTAGGTAGAACATGGAAGGGTGAGATTTTCTACTGCATTAGTTGAGGCAATATTAGCTATAACAAAACAGATCAAATAGTGTATAATGACTCATTCCAAATAAACATTTGTTTTTCATTTATGTAACTATTGCAGGTTGGTAGGGGACTTTCTCCTCCTTGCAGATATTTTGGAATCCACCTTTGAAGATGGGAATACAACATGTGACTTATAAGATTTAGTAAATAGGGAATACAGAGGGCAAATGGAAATTCAGTAGGCAACAAATGGTGTCCAATGTTATAATCATTCATGTGAAGTTTGGTAAATATCCCACTCCATTGTTTTATAGTCTGAACACTTGATTTTACATATTTGTGGTGGCTGTCAAAGTGTGACACTCAGATATCCTTCAAGATAGAACATGAAGGGAAAATAAAAAAGACTTATGCGTGTAATGATTTTATGGGTGAGGCTTAGAAATGGCATGTCTCCACGTTCCAAGGACCTCTTCAAGGAGAACTACAAACCACTGCTCAATGAAATAAAAGAGGATACAAACAAATGGAAGAACATTGCATGCTCATGGGTAGGAAGAATCAATATTGTGAAAATGGCCATACTGCCCAAGGTAATTTATAGATTCAATGCCATCCCCATCAAGCTACCAATGACTTTCTTCACAGAATTGGAAAAAACTACTTTAAAGTTCATATGGAACCAAAAAAGAGCCCACATCACCAAGTCAATCCTAAGCCAAAAGAACAAAGTTGGAGGCATCATGCTACCTGACTTCAAACTACACTACAACGCTACAGTAACCAAAATAGCATGGTAGTGGTACCAAAACAGAGATATAGACAAACGGAACAGAACGGAGCCCTCAGAAATAATGCTGCATATCTACAACCATCTGATCTTTGATAAACCTGAGAAAAACAAGCAATGGGGAAAGGATTCCCTATTTAATAAATGGTGCTGGGAAAACTAGCTAGCCATATGTAGAAAGCTGAAACTGGATCCCTTCCTTACACCTTATACAAAAATTAACTCAAGATGGATTAAAGACTTAAACGTTAGACCTAAAACTATAAAAACCCTAGAAGAAAACCTAGGCAATACCATTCAGGACATAGGCATGGGCAAGGACTTCATGTCTAAAACACCAAAAGCAATGGCAACAAAAGCCAGCATTGACAAATGGGATCTAATTAAACTAAAGAGCTTCTGCACAGCAAAAGAAACTACCATCAGAGTGAACAGGCAACCTACAAAATGGGAGAAAATTTTCGCAACCTACTCATCTGACAAAGGGCTAATATCCAGAATCTACAATGAACTCAAACAAATTTACAAGAAAAAAACAAACAACCCCATCAAAAAGTGGGCAAAGGACATGAACAGACACTTCTCAAAAGAAGACATTTATGCAGCCAAAAAACACATGAAAAAATGCTCATCATCACTGGCCATCAGAGAAATGCAAACCACAATGAGATACCATCTCACACCAGTTAGAATGGCAATCATTAAAAAGTCAGGAAACAACAGGTGCTGGAGAGGATGTGGAGAAATAGGAACACTTTTACACTGTTGGTGGGACTGTAAACTAGTTCAACCATTGTGGAAGTCAGTGTGGCGATTCCTCAGGGATCTAGAACTAGAAATACCATTTGACCCAGCCATCCCATTACTGGGTATATACCCAAAGGATTATAAAACATGCTGCTATGAAGACACATGCACAAGTATGTTTATTGTGGTACTATTCACAATAGCAAAGACTTGGAACCAACCCAAATGTCCATCAATGATAGACTGGATTAAGAAAATGTGGCACATATACAACATGGAATACTATGCAGCCATAAAAAATGATGAGTTCATATCCTTTGTAGGGACATGGATGAAGCTGGAAACCATCATTCTCAGCAAACTATTGCAACGATAAAAAACCAAACACCCCATGTTCTCACTCATAGGTGGGAATTGAACAATGAGAACACATGGACACAGGAAGGGGAACATCACACACTGGGGCCTGTTATGGGGTGGGAGGAGGGTAGAAGGATAGCATTAGGAGATATGCCTAATGTTAAATGATGAGTTAATGGGTGCAGCACACCCACATGGCACATGTATACATATGTAACAAACCTGCACGTTGTGCACATGTACCCTAAAACTTAAAGTATAATAAAAATAAATAAATAAACAAATAAAAGAAATGACATGTCTCCTTAGCTCACATAGTATTTTTTGGAATCCAGTGATACAACGTATCCAACTATGTGGGAATTTGGGAAATCAGTTCTATGTGTCAAGGAAGAAGGTGAAACTCAGAAGTCTCTGCCACACAGGTAAGAACAATATGCACAAGAGTACCGAATTGTTAAAGTTCTTGAGAAGCTTGCAGAAGTAAGAATTCAATACAGTTGGCGTGTAGGGAACATAAGTAAAATACAAAGATAATGAGAGTAAAGAAGCTAGCAGCTCTTTTATGCTATTAATTAAACTTTTAAATTTATGTAAAGCTTTTAATGCTTATTTTATTCTATTAAAATTTTATATATAATTTAATTCACTTTTGACGTTTTTTTCTCTTGGTCAATTCTGCTATTTTTGTGACATTTTTACACTGCTCTAATTATTTTTGGAGCATTACAACGCACAGAGAGTATGTCTGAATAAATCTATCCACTATAATTATTTCCTAATTATAAACATCAAATTTGTAAAATTTAAACACTTACCAAAGCCTATAGTTAATCTGGCCTTCCATTTGTTCAGGGTTACTTCAAGTAGAAAATTTGCATTCCAATGTTTTATTTATTCAGCAATATGAATAAATAACATTCTTTCCCACAAACAAAATAGCAGTGTAACAAATTCCTGAAGTAGCAGTATAATAGATTTCTCTGGCCAAAAAACTAAAAAAAATAGTTTCTGTCCTCCCTAGGGTATGTTTTTGCCTTGGTCCTCTCTCTAACACCTTCAAGTTATTTCATTAATGGAGGAGATTCAGGATAATATTTTATGTTTTAATGTTTACTTTAGTTGCTTAAAATTATTCAGATAAAAATGGCCTTTCAGAGATACCCTTAATCACTCATCAGATTGTCCGTAATAGCAACAACAAAATTTGACAGTTGGGACAGTAGGGAATGGGCATTCTCATACCCTGCTGGAGAGACTGTAAATTGGTAAAAATGTTTTACATTACAATTTGGCAGGACTCAGTGAAACCATAAATATAATTCAATATTTATTTTCTAAGTAATTCCCTAAAGAACATTTTTATAAGCGCAGAGAAAAATTTCTCTTTAGCAGATTTTGGAATGAAAATTAAAAAATTGAATCAGTTTAAATGCCTCTTATCAGAGCAATAAGTAAATAAAATGATATATTCAAGAGGTGGAATTCAATGCTATGGATAAAAGATTGAACTAAAACCATATTTGGAATATGGAGAGATTAAAAAATCAGTGAGTGGGAAAAAACTCAACAATATACAGCGTGATAGTTTGCATCACATATGTTATGCAATTTAAACAAAATATACCTCCAGTAGAGGGAGATGAATAATGGTTCTAGGGATAGGAACAAAAGATAATTCAACTTTATCTGTAATACTAAACAATTATTGAAAATATAAAGCAACTAAAAATGTGATTAGTGTATTTTATTCTTTCTGATTTTCTATCTCTTGAGTGTCTTAGAAAAATATTTAAAATGTTGTGTTTATGATTCCTAAAGAGTTAGTGGACAATAATAAGGTATTAAGTAAAAATATTGTTAGTTCTTAGGAGCTAAGATTTAGAGGGGTAAACTGGAGGATGATAAATGCTATTGTTTGGTCTGATGTCTGTTCAGTGTTCTCTTTAAAGTCATCTAGGAAAGTGTGAACTAAAACTAATCTACAGGTGTACAATATTAACTTGTACATAGAGTGTCCATCAGTATCAGGAGGAAGGTGACATATTCAAAACAGGCTCTCCAGAATGTCACCTGATGAGTATTTCAGGAAACAAAGCTCTCCAGATAAATGAGTTAATTTCTTTCAAAAATTATAACACAGGTATTCTCACAGGGAAGGGCAACTTGTTTCCATAACACATGACTTGAAATTTAGTTCATAAACTTTTAATGTCTATTTTTGCAGCTCAGGGATCTGTTTTGTTTGATATCCTTCTATATTTGCAACTATTGTTTCCAAAATAGTTAGAAACAATATTTGGGTAGATGGATTGATGGAAAAGAGATGGATGAGGCTGTTGTGTTTATTAAAAGAAATGATATATGTACAGATCTCCAAACATAATCTGGAAAATATCAAAAGTAGATATTACTGTTTTTAGAGAAAAATTATATCCATATATGATTTTAATTGGCACATAGTAATCGTACACATTTATGGGGCTACAGTGAGATGTTTTGATACCTGTAATGATTGTAATGATTGAATCAGAGTATTTATCATTCCCATCATCTCAACCATTCATCATTTATTTGTGGTGACAACATTCTAAATCCTCTTTTCTAGCTCTTTGGAAGTAAATTATACAATATTATTAATTATATTCATCCTCCTGCACAACAATGCACCAGAACTTAGTATTCCTATTAACGATGACCCCATACCCATTGACCAATCTGTCTTAATTCCTCCTTGCCTCTTCCTTCCCTAGCCTCTGGTAACCACTATTCTACTCTCTAATTCTGTGAGATCAGCTTTTATAGATTCCGTACATGAATGACATCATTCAGTATTTGTGCTTCTATGCCTGGCTCATTTAACAGAATGTCCTCCAGGTTTATCCATGTTGCCACAAATGAGAGGATTTTATTTTTTATGGCTAAATAGTATTTCATTGTGTATACATTTATACTCTGTTTTCTTTATCCATTCATCTGTTAATAGACACTTGGATTGATTCCATTTCTTAGCTGTTGTGAACAATGCTGCAATTAATATGGGAGTGCAGATATCTCTTAGACATACTGATTTTATTTCTTTTTGATATATACCCAGTAGTGGCATTGCTGGATCAAATGGTAGCTCTATTTTTAGTTTTTTGAAGAACCTGTATACTGTTTTACATAGTCGCTGGACTTTTTTATACTCCCACAAACAGTGCATAAGAGCTCCCTTTTTTCCACATCCTTGCCAGCATAAATTACCTTTTGTTGTTTTGATAATAGCCATTTTAACTGGGGTGAGGTGATATCTCATTGTGGTTTTGATTTGCATCTCCCTAATGTTTAGTGATATTGAGCATTTGTCATATACCTGTTAGCTGTTTGTATGTCTTCTTTTGAGAGGGGTCTATTCAAATCTTTTGCTCATCTTTTAATCAGATTATTGTTATTTTTTTCTATTAAGTGTTTGGGTTTCTTATATATTTTTTATATTAGACCCTTGTCCGATATATGGTTTTTAGCTATTTTATCCCATTCTGTAGGTTTTCTCTTCACTTTGTTGTTTTCTTTGCTATGCAGAAGTTTTTCAGTTTGATACAATCCCATTTGTCTATTTTTACTTTCGTTGCCTGTGATTTTGAGTTATTGTCTAAAAGATCTTTGCCCAGACCAATGTCATGGGCAAAGATTCTCCAATGTCATGGAGCATTTCCCTTATGTTTTCTTCTAGTAGTTTTATAGTTTCAGGTTTTGTGGTTAAGTGTTTAATCCATTTTGAGTTGACTTTTGTATGCTGTGAGAGAGAGGGTCTAGTCTCATACTTCTATTCATACTTAAGTTAATTTTTAACTTAAGCCAAATTGTCATGCAATTATTTTTCATGTTTTCCTTTCTGAAAGAAGTTAAAAAATAAAGAAGTAGAATTACAATTGGAATATAAAAGGAGAATGATTAATCTGCAGACAGATGAAAGAGAGTTTTGTTAAAATTATTGACTATAATGATATTTCCCCTATAATAGCTTCCGATAGTCATAATAACTTTAGGATATTAACAAGCTGGTTTAATAATCTACACACACATTGCTTTTCCTTCTAATTCTTTTGATACAACATCACACTTGGGCCCTAATTGGGAACTTGAATATCTCAGTGTCTGTAAAAGAAGCTAGTACTCTGTGAAACTCAAACAGGGCAAATGTCAAAGTTTTCTATTGATTTACTGTAATTCATCTAAGCATTTGAAAGGCTATACAGGGAAACACCCTGAAGGCCTCACTTTCAGGCCCTCATTTAATCAGTATCAGATTGGATCTGCAGTGGTTTATTCCACACTTGGGCGGCAAAAACACTTCCGTGCCCTCCCCACCTAAACACAGCTGAAAAAGAAAACATAAAGAGCACAGAATAAACAGTCTCCACCTCAGGAACAGATGTTACCTCTAGAAAGTGCTGCCGTGCCCAGTAATTGTCTTCTCTGAGACTCCGCAGTGAAGAATTCTCCCCACCTGAGCACTTACAGTGCAGACCTATAATTGGCCACTTTCCTGTTTGTTTCCTCCACTCCCTACAAATATCAAGGCAAAACTGGTGCCAGGTTTATCTCTATCCCCTGGACCAAATACAAAAACAAAAAAAGGCACTTGTCATTTTTCTCCTGAATGAATAGATGACAGTAAATTGTTAGAGATCCTACTCACTTCTTCCCCCAATGCAAATGTGCCCTCTGATTTATCATTGTTTAAGTTCTTTGTTTTTACTGATTCTTGAGTCAGTCTGGACTGAGATTGGGAAAAAGGGGACATGAATAAATTTGTCTTTGCCTGAGATTGTGTCTGTATTGTGTGGGCTAAACTTTGAAACCTCTTGGTCCCTACAGGCAGAACTCTCCATGTCCCTTGCATATGTGGCTTCAAGACTCCTTTGCTATCTGACAAGGATCCATTTTCCTTGCCCACAGTAATTTTGTTTCAGCTACCCAGATCTTGCTTTGACAATGCTTTCCCTCAACCATTTACACCAGTCTGAGAAGGAAAGTGAAAACTAAGTTCTGGAGTATGAGACTTTTATAAGAAATGCAGCTTACATGGAATGGAGAGTAAATAACAAACTACTAACCATAGGATCACAACAGGTTTCTAAAAGAATGAGGAAAAAGAATACAAAGAAAGCAGAATGGCAGTGCTGGGGGGTCCCTGACAAGAAAGTGGAATTTACTGTAAAGAAAGATACTTGACTAAAACATTTTTTAAAACCAACGAGGAAACAGAGGGCAGATAAGATAAAACCATTAGCTAACATTTATTGAGAATTGCACTTTCCATACATTAATTGTTTAAATCCTTATATTAACCCTGAGAGCTACTGTTATTATTATTATAATTATTACTAACATTTTCACAGATAAGAAACCTAAGGCGCAGAGAAGATAAAACAATGATTTGCTAAAAGTTACACAGCTGGATGATGCCAGGATTAGGGCCCAGAGCTTATAATTTCAGCCTCTAATTACCTTGCCTTATAAAGGATTAATTCTGAGAAATATATATTGCTAAATATAATGGTTTATGATTTCTAGTCCGATCACATCCTTGCTGTAATACTAACATCACTGCCAAAGAGACAGGAATTCAAATGTGTCATTGATGCAGGATTTCTCTCAGCCCCTTTACTGGACTCAAGGCAGGGGCACTCCCTGTACTCGGCCCACTGTGCTCAGTCCCTTGCAGGAAGGAGCACGTGAGCAAGTGAGTGCAGGATCCAGCTGGCCACTCTGGGCTCTGACACAGAAACAAGCTCCATGCAGGGCTTGCGGCCAGATCAGGTGTGTTGCCTTGAGGGGAAAGCCACAGTACCCATGTGAGGGGGCCCACAACCCCGAAGCCACAGAGGGGGTGTTACAGTGCTCCTTTAGTTCTACCATCCGTGGACGGTGGTGTGTTAGCAGCTGAGTTGGCCCCTTGCCTCATCACATGAAGTGGCTGCCCCCTGCCAGCAATGGCAAAGGGCTGGTGTGATAGCCTTTCTGGGTACCCCCGGCACTCATTGGGTCCCGAGCATCCAAGAAGAATGAGGTCCAAGAAGAATGAGGTCTTCTGGCGTCCAAGAAGAATGAGGTCACATGAACAGTTGAAAGATGGTGAAGGCGGAGAATTTTATTGAGTGATAGAAACAGCTGTTAGCAGAGAGGGGAGCTGGAGAGGGGATGGGAATGGCAGGTTGTCTTCCCCGAAGTCAGGCTGTCTCTATTCCCTGAAGTCAGGCCATTTCTTCCTCTACCAACTGAATCTGGAGTCTTTATAAGCACAGGATGGTGAGGGCATGCTGATTGACTTGTGAGTATGCAAAAAAAGATAAAGTGAAGACACCACTCAAAGGCGCACACAACAGTAGAGAAAACCAATTAGGAAAGGATAGGTATATGTAATATAGGTGAAGGGTGGGGATCTGTCAGAGGAAAGCATGCCAAACAGGAAGACAAGTTTTCAGTCCACTCTGAGGATTAAACTTGTAGCTTGGCTTTCAGGCTTTCAGCTGTCTTCAGCTTGGAGGTGGGGTTTCACCAGGTACCCGCCCATATCTGCCCAGGCATTTGGCTGCCTCCTGCTACTATCACCACTCCCCTGTTTTAATGACTCCTCATGAGGATCCTTGTTAAACATCTAAAACAAGACTAACACGAGGCTGGGTGCAGTGGCTCATATCTATAATCCCAGCACTTTGGGAGGCTGAGGTGGGCAGATCACTTGAGCCCAGGAGTTTGAGACCAGCCTGGGCAGCATGGCAAAACCCCATCTCTAAAAAACAAACAAGCAAAAAAAGCCAAATCTTCTGCCACTTCACCTCCCCCGACTTCTGTTCCAATCCCAACAGATACTGACTTTCCCATGCTTTATAACAATTTTGTTCTTTCCCAAAAGATATGGGTTCTGCCTAGAATTACTTAACCATCCTTTTTTGCCCAGTTGGTTCCTGAGTTAGCAGGTAGTTAAAACGTTTTCTTAGAACTCCTAATGCATGTTCACTTTTATCTTATCATACTTTGTATTTAATGGCCTGTATTCCTTTAAAGATAATGTACAGCTTTGCCCGTCTAGAGCTTATAGTAGGTTCTTGATAGATGTTTAGCATTAAATGAAAAGATGCTTGGGAGATTGAGACTTAGGCGTTTTTCCCAAAGTAATTCCTCTGAAGTGTCATGAATCTCAATTAAAAAGTAAGGTAAGCAGGATTTGTAGGCAATTTCCTGTACTAGAACTTCAATGTGACTCTAATTATTGTTGAATATGCTGAAATATTTTGAAAAACAGAAATTGTGGCAGTTTTACCCTATTTGCCACAATTTTGAATGCACGGTTTAAAAACCAGTCAGAATAACAAAACCAGTCAGAATTTGATTTAATATAAAATTAAATAATTTCATAACAAATTAATGAAATTAGAAAGTAAATTAGCTAGATTTAATTGACAAGTATGCAAAAAAATAGCTGTCATTAGGTAATTTATTGAATTTATTCAAATGGTCAGCTCATGGAGCCTGCATACAGGCACAGGAATGTGCTGACAATGAATAGCTCCCCATAAATATACTTCACTCCCTAAAATAGGTGATATGTAAACATATGGTATTACTTACAGCTGTCAGTAGAAGGAGGTACAAAATGAGATATTTTATTGTTCCCATTCTCATGTTATGTCTTTCTCCCCTACAGACTAACACTAAGGAAACTATAAAAATAAATCTGTCCACAAAACGACTGGCTCACAGGATTCGTTTTCATTATAGCCATAGTTCTCCATCTCAGTACACTATGCAAGGTAAACAAAGCAGTAGGATACAGAGGTACCTGCATAATTGCATTATCCTCTTTTCTTTACTTTGTGCTTCAATAAATCTTGGCTACATTATAAAATTCTTTATTTAATCAACTGAAAGGACAAAGGTATCTTTCTTTAAAAATGGCTTGGTTTTACTGATTGCAAAAGTAAAACATACTTGAAAATTCCAATAATTCAGAAATGTATAAAATTGAAAGTAAGGTTCACAAACAACTCAACACCCAGCAACACTGATTATTAACAGTTTAATGTATCAACTTCTAAATTCTTAATGCACACATGTAATGAGCACCTATATTTAAGAAAAATTGATTTATTCTACATATATTTTCTGAAACTAGTTTTTTCTTAACAATATATTGTTACTTCCTATGATAATGCCAATGCATCTACCAGATTCTATTAATAGGTAAATGCCATTTCATATTATAGATAAGCTTATTTGTTATAACCATTGCTCCCAGATTTAAATAACGTTGCTATGCACACACATGCATGTGTGTGTGTGTGTGTGTATACCTACAAAAATATTTTCAAAGGATAAATCCCTAAAAAGGGATTGGCTAAATTATATTTAAAAATAATTTTTAAAAGGTGATTGAATTTGCCAAATTGCCTTCATAGAATGCTGTATAAATTTATACCCTTCTAAGTGGTTAATATCAGTGCAATTTTACTCAGTATCCTGTAACTTCCAGAATGTGCCTGGATATTTATAGGCATTATTATTCCCAGTAAACTCAACATTCTTTCAACTTTAAAATAATTATTTTATTGTTTTCTATTTTTTGTGAATAAATTCTCAGAAATAAAATATGGAGTATAGTTAATATCCTTTTATAACCAGAAATCAGGCCTATGTCTCTTTTTCAGGTTTTATTACAGTAGCACAATCAAAATATTCTTTATATGAGAATTGTAGGTATCTCATAATTACACCATGTTGTATTGATATTATTTTGTTCATGATGCTACTAAAAATAAAAGAATTTCTCCTATTATAGATACATTACATAATACATTAATATATATTATATGTTTTTACTCTATTCAATTCTATTGTTGTCCACTGTTTCTTTATAGAGAAGTGACTGGGTTGCTATCTATATATTTGTTTGCAGCCAACAAATTTAATCAGCTTTAATATCTTTGCAATATTTTCATGTTTCTTATCTAAATTTCTAGGTACAAAATTCTCCATACTTCCTTCACATCATGATACATTTATCTCCTGGCATTTATAATATATAACACAATATATTATAATATATAAAACAACATATAATTTTGGTAATATATAAAATATAATGTGTTTAAGCTGTTTTATATTCTTCAATGGCATTGACTAATAGTATTTGGAACAGTATCTGGTTTCATTGAGGATTTTCACTCTTCAGCATTATATAATAAATTGATTTGTCTTAATTACTTTTAGTTTGTATTGGGCTGTGTCTTTTGTTAATGTTATATGATTTATCTTTGCTAAGCATTAGCCTTAATATCAAAGACATATCAAAAATGGGCAAAGTCCATCATTTTTGCTACAATATGTTCATGTGCCATTTAAGTGTGTGTATATATATCTATATATATAGGCCACATACAGTTCTTGCTTCATCATACAATTCATCTTTTAAAGATAATTTTATTTCAGTTATCCTTATTGTATCAGAACACTTTATTTCTCCAACACTATATATGCAATATCTGTATATAATAGTATATAGTCTTGTGTTTTGTCCAATATTTTCCAATCTCCTCTAATATTTACTCTGCCATAATTTAGAATTATAACCTAGTTTTACTAGTGGTTACTGTTAGAAGTAATATTTTTCTCAATATTTCAATTATAGAAATGAAGAAAATTAAAACAGGGTTCTGACAGGAAAGCAAAAGTTACTGAAGTGTTTGTGGTAGAAAGAGTGTTAATACAGTAAATTGGAGGTTCTGTCAGCACTGGATAGAATGGATGACAGGCAGTGAAGCAGAAGCAGGTCATCTCATCTCAGCTACTTGCAACACCAAAGACTCTTTAGTGAAACCATCTTCATCATCCCAACTGCCAACAGAAGAGAAGTAGTGAATTTGAAGAACTTCCTTGTAAACTTGTGAATTTCAAGAACAGCAGGAGAGTTGCCACACACTACCCTAGCTGCCTGAAGCACCCAGTCAGGTGAACTCCAGAGTTGGCTATCTGACAGCCTGCCACTGTTGAAGAAAAACAAGGGCTTTTCCTAGGCTTTCTCTTCTTCATCGAGTTCTTCTCATTGAAAGACTGTAACCCAGAACTAAACTCAGAAGCCTATTCTGGGAAATTTATCTATAAGCTCCTCTTCTCTGATACACAAAATAAAGAAGGCGAGAGAAGATATATGTGCAGAATGAGCAACAGACAGGAATATCTAATGTCGTAAACCAATGATAGGTTTTGACTCTGTGTTACCACCAAATTTCATCTCAAATTATAGTTTCCTGGTAGAATTATAATTATAATCACCTTGTTGGAGGTGACTAGATCATGGGGGTGGTTCCCCCATGCTGTTCTCATGATAGTGAGTGAATTCTCACAAGATCTCATGGTTTTATAAGGGGTTCTTTCCTCTTCATCGTTCTTGTCTTCTGTTGCCTGGTGAAGAAGGTGCCTGCTTTCACTTCTGCCATGACTGCAACATTCCTGAGGCCTCCCCGGCCATGCAAAACTGTGAGTCAAGTAAACCTCTTTTGTTTATGAATTACCCAGTCTCCAGTATTTCTTTATAGCAGTGTGAAAGTGGACTAATATAGTAAATTGGTACTGAGAGTTGGGTACTGCTATAAAGATAACCTGAAAATGTGGAAGTGACTTTGGAACTAGGTAACAAGCAGAGGTTGGAACAATTTAAAGGGCTCAAAAGAAAACAGAAAGATGTGGGAAACTTTGAAACTTCGTAGAGACTTTTGAAAGGTTTTGACCAAAACGCACATAGTGATATGGACAATGAAGTCTAGGCTGAGGTGGTCTTAGATGGAGATGAGAAACTTATTTGGAACTGGAACAAAGGTCACTCTTGCTGTGCTTTAGCAAAGAGACTGGCGGCATTTTGCCCCTGCTCTGGATATCTGTGGAACTTTGAACTTGAGAGAGATGACTTAGGGTATCTGGTAGAAGAAATTTCTAAGCAATAAAGTGTTCGAGAAGTGACAGAGTGTAAAAGTTTGGAAAATTTGCAGTCTGACCATGTAGTAGAAGAGAAAAACCCATTTTCTGTGCAGAAATTCAAGCAAGCTGCAGAAATTTGCATAAGTAATGAAGAGTCAAATGTTAATAGCCCAAGATAATGAGGAAAATGTCTCCAGGGCATGTCAGAGACCTTTGTGGCAGCCCCTCTCATCACAGGCCTAGAGGCCTAGAAGGGAAAAAGCATTTCATGGGCACTGTCCAGGGCTCTACTGCTTTGTGCAGCCTCAGGACTTGGTGCTCTGGGTCCCAGCTGCTCCAGCTACAGCTGTGACTAAAAGGGGTCAAGGTACAGCTTAGGCTATTGCTCTACAGGGTGCAAGCCCTAAGCCTTGGCAGCTTCCACATGGTGTAGGCCCTGCAGGTGCAAAAAATTCAAGAATTGAAATTTGGGAACCCCTGCCTAGATTTCCAAGGATGTATAGAAATGCCTGGATGTCCAGGCAGAAGTCTGATGCAGGTGTGGAGCCCTGATGAAGAACCTCTGCTAGGGCAGTGCAGAAGGAAAATGTGGGGTTGGAGCTGCCACAGAGTCCCACCTGGGTCACTGCCTAGTGGAGATGTGAGAAGAGGGCCATTCTCTTCCAGACCCCAAAATGGTAGATCCACTGACAGCTTGTACCATGCACCTGAAAAAGCTGCAGATACTCAATATCAGCTGTGAAAGCAGCTGAGGGGCTGTACCCTAAAAAGCCACAAGGCAGAGCTCGTGCATCAGTGTGCCTTGGATGTGAGTCATGGAGTCAAAGGAGATTATTATGGAGCTTTAACATTTAATGGCTGCCCCGCTGGATTTCAGACATGCATGGGCCCTATAATCCCTTTGTTTTGGCCAATTTCTCCCATTTTGAATGGGAGCATTTATCCAATGCCTGTAGCCCCATTGTATCTTAGAAGATTTTACAGTCTTCTAGGCAAAAGGGACTTGCCTTGTTTCAGATGAGGCTTTGGAATTAGACTTCTGAGTTAATGCTGGAATGAATTAAGACTTTGGTTTTGGGGGACAGTTGGGAAGGCATGATTGGTTTTGAAAAGTGAGGATGTGAGACTTGGAAGGGCCCAGGGGCAGAATGATATGGTTTGGCTGTGTGTCCCCACCCCAATCTCATCTCAAATTATAATCTTCATGTGTCAAGGGAGGGACCTGGTGGGAGGTAATTGGATCATCGGGGTGGTTTCCCCTTGCTGTTCTTGTGATAGTGAGTTAGTTCTCACAAGATCCAATGGTTTTATAAGGGACTCTTCCCCCTTCACCCTTCTTGTATGCTGCTTCCCTGTGAAGAAAATGCCTGCTTCTCCTTCCGCCATAATTGTAAGTTTCCTGAGGCTTCCTCAGCCAAGCACAACTCTGAGTCAATCAAACTTTCCAGCCTCAGGTGTTTATAGCAGTGTGAAAACAGACTAATACAGCCATTAAAATGAAGAACAAACTAATGCCAGATGCCTCTTTTTCCCCATCTTCCTGGATTTCCTCTTTTTCCTTGAAAATTCTAGAAAAAATTTCCAAGCTATTATCAATAAACTAATTTTACTTATATAGTTTACGTTTCAAAAACTGCATTATAGAAAATACAGTCTGTTTGTTGCCAAAACTAACTTCATTTTTATATTTTAAATTCTGCCTTTAATTTGATTGATCTTATACTTACTGCCACTAACTTGTCATTTTATTACTCCAATTCCAAGTTGTTTTTATTAAGCTTCATTTTGTGTTGACTGGATTATGTCTTCAGATATATCTGTTTATTGCATAAACTATTTTGTTGAAGATACTGGTAATATTTATTCATAAGTACTGTTGTCTGTTCTCATGTCTATAATATTTTATCTAATTACTTTCAGTATTTTTTTCTCTTTTTATTTATTTTGTGTGATTTTTCTCAAATATTTTAATTATGTCATTAATACAGATGTTTAGGATATTTGATTTGAACTTTGTTGGCTCTATTATGAGTTTTATTTTTTTCATTTCTGTCTGTACAATTTTTAAATTTGTTATTTATATATAATAGACATACCTATTTTGGAATATATGTGGTTATCTAATCCATTCATATACTTTGTAAAGATTAAATCAGTGTAATTGGGATATCCATCACATTAAATATTTGTCTTTTATTTATGCTAGAAACACTGGAATTCCTCTTCTAGCTATTTAAAAATATTCAATAGACCTTTATTTTAAACCATAGTCCCCCTGCTGATCTACCAAACACTAGGTCCTATTTCCTCTGCCAAACGGTTCTTTATACCTGTTAATCAACCTATATATCTCTCCTCCTCTATATCTTTCCCAGCCTCTGATAACTACCAATCTACTATATATTCATAAGATCCACTTTGTTTAGCTCCCACATGAGTTAAAACATGCAATATTTGCCCTTCTATATCTGGCTTATTTCACTAAATGTAATGATTTCCAGGTTCATTCATGTTGCTGCAAATGACAGGATTTCATTCTTTTCGATGGATGAATAATATTTCCTTGAGCATATATACCACATTTTCTTTATTTACTTATTTATGGGCACATAGGTTGATTCTATATTTTGGCTATTGTGAATAGTGCTGCAATAAACATTGGAATCCAGGTATCTCTTTGATACATTAATTTTCTTTTTTTGAATATATACTCAGTATTGAAATTTCTGGGTCATATGATAGCTCTATTTTCAGTTTTTTGAGGAACCTCCATGCAGTTTTCCAAAGTGGCTATATTAATTTACATTCCCACAAACAGCATATGATGGTTCTACTTTTTCCACATCCTTTCTACCATCCATTATTCCCTGTCTTTTTGATGAAAGCCATTTTAACTGGCATGAGATTATATCTCATTGTGGTTTTGATTTGCATTTCTCTGATAATTAGTAATGTTGACTTTTCTTTAATAAACTTGTTGGCTGTATGTCTTTTGAGAAGTTTCTATTTGATTATTTTGCCCTATTTTTAAGCAAATTATTAGGTTTTTAAATTTTTTATCAAGTTGTTTGAGTTTACTATATGTCCTGGTTATTAATCTCTTGTCAGATGGATAGTCTGCAAATATTTCTTCTTATTCTGTGGGTTGTCTCTCACTGTGTTGATTATTTTATTTGCTTTTAAAAGCTTTTTAGCTTGATATAATCTCATTTGTTCATTTTTGGCTTGGTTGCCTATGCTTTTGAGGCCTTACACAAAAATTTTTGTCCAGATCAATGACCTGGAGGGTTTCACTAATGTTTTCTTCTTGTAATTTCATAGTTTCAGATCTTAGATTTAAGTCTTTAATCCACTTTATTTGATTTTCATATATGGTGAAGATAGGGGTCAAGTTTCATTATTCTGCATATGGTTATGCAGTTTGGCTAGCACCACTTAATGAAAAGACTCTTCTTTCCCCATTGTATGTTCTTGGCTCCTTTGTCTAAAATAAGTTGGCTGTAAATGGGTGGTTTTATACCTGGGTTCTATATTCCATTTCATTGGTCTATGTGTCTGTTTTTATGCCAGTGTCATGATGATTTTGTTAATATAGATTTGTAGTATATTTTGAAGTCAGATAGTGTGATGCACCAGCTTGTTTTTTTCCTGTTTAACATCGCTTTTGCTATTTGGAGTCTTTTCTGATTCCATATAAATTTTAGATTTTTTTTTCTATTTCTGTGAAAAATATCATTAGTATTTTGATAGGAATTACATGGAATCTTTAAATTGCTTTGGGTAAAATTGTAATTTTAAGATTATTAATTCTTTCAATTAATGAGCATGGAATACCCATTCATGTGTTTTGTGTCTTCTTCAGTATATTTCATCAGTGTTTTAAAGTTTTCCTTGTACAGGAAAACTTGTTGTACAGGTTTTTCACTTCCTTGGTTAAACTGATTCCAAGGGATTTTATATATTTTTGTAGCTATTGTAAATGGGATTGCTTTCTTGATTTCTTTTTCAGATTGTTCTCTGTTGGCATGTATAATTGTGGATTTTTGAATGTTGATTTTGTATTTTGTAAACTTACCGATTCTTTTTGTCAGTTTAACAGGTATTTTTAGTGGAGTCTTTAAGTTTTTTCTAAATATAAGATCACATAATTTGTGAACAAGGTTAATTTGGCTTTTTTATTTCCAGTTTGCATGACTTTTATTTATTTCTCTTGCCTAAATATTCTGGCCAGGACTTCAAGTGTTATGTTGAATAAAAGTGGGGAAAGTGGGCATTTTTGTCTTGTTCCAGATCTTAGAGAAAAGACTTTTAAATGTTCACCGTTTAATACAGTGTTAGCTGTGAGTTTGTCATATATGCCTTTTATTATTTTGAGATATGTTTCTTCTATGCCTAGTTTGTTGTGGTTTTCTTATTTATCATAAAGAGATGTTGAATTATGTGGAATGCTTTTGTAGCATCTATTGAAATGATCATATGATTTTTGTTCTTAGTTCAGTTAATTTGTTACATCACACTTATTGATTGGTATATGTTAAGCCATCCTTGAATCCCTGAGATAAATCCCACTTGATTATGGTAAATGGTTTGTCTAATGTGTTGCTGAATTCAGTTTGCTAACATTTTGTTGAAGATTTTTGCATCTATATTCACATCAGTGATACTGGGCTATAGTTTTTTTTTTTAACTGGTTTTAGTATGAACAAAATCCTGGCCTAATAGGATGAGTTTAGAGGTATTCCCTCCTCTTCAAATTTTTTGAAGAATTTTAGTATAATTGGTATTAGTTCTTCTTTAAATGTTTGGTAGAATTTAACAAGGAAGCAGTCACGTCCTGAGATTTTCTGGAATGGGAGACTTTTTATTATGACTTCAAATCTGTTACTCATTATTAGTTTGTCAAGGTTTTCTATTTCTTCATGGTTCAGTTTTAATAGGTTGTATGTATCCTGAAATTCATCCATTTTTGTAGGTTTTTCAATTTGTTGATGTATAGTTATTCATAATATTCTCTAATAATTCTTTGTATTTCTGTGGTCTCCATTTTTTTCTGATTTTATGTATATGTGTCTTCTCTCTTTTGTTTTTAGTTTGTGCAGCTTATTAATCTTATGTATTTTTCTAGTCTTAATTTCATTGATTTCTGTTCTAATCTTTGTGACTTTTTTCTTTGTATTAATTTGGGGCTTGGCTTACTCTTGATTTTCTAGTTTCAAAAGGGTCATTGTTTATTGCCATAATCTTTCCTCCTAGTACTGTTTTTGTTGTATTACATCAATTTTGGTATGCTGTATTTTCATTTTCATTTATTTCAAGATTTTAAAAATTTCTTCATTGACATTTGTCATTTAGGAGCATGTAGTTTAATTCCCATGTGTTTGTGTGTTTTCTCAGATTCTCTTGCTATTGATTTCTCCTTTGATTTCACTTTGGTCAGAAAATATCTTTGCTATGATTTTGAGTTTTTGAATTTGTTGACACTTTTTTGTGGCTGAAGATATGGTCTATTCTGGAAAATGTTTCACATGATGATAAAAATAATGTGTATTCTGCAGCAGTTGGATGAATACTTCTTTAGATGTCAGATAGGCCTATTTGGTCTAGTGTATAGTTTAACTCTGATGTTTCTTTGTTTATTTTCTGTCTGGATGATCTGCCTATTACTGAGTGTAGCGTTGAGGTCCTCTACTGTTAATTTATTGCATTCTATCTCTTGCTTTAGATTTATTAATGTTTCATGTATATACTTGGGAGCTCCAGGGTTGGGGGCATAGATATGTATAATTGTTATATTGTTATACACTTTGCTGAATTTAGCCCTTTGTCATTATATAGTGACTTTATTTGTATTTCTGTACAGTCTTTCATTTGTAGGCAACTTTATTTTATATAAATATAGTGACTTCTACCCTTTTTGGGTTTCCAGTTGCATGGAATATATTTTTCCACCTCTTCAATTTTAGTCTATGTGTATCTTTCGGTAAAGTGGGTTTCTTGTAGGCAGCATATAGTTGGATCTTTTGTCTATCCATTCAGCCACTCTATGCCTTTTAATTGGAGAAGCAAGTTCCATTTATATTCATTGTTATTATTGGTAAGTAAGGATTTAAAACTGTCATTCTGTTGCTTGTTTTCTGGTTATTTTGTAATTATCTCTTCCTTTCTTACCTTCTTTCTTAGTGGTTATTTCCTCTGGTAGTATTTTTAAAATAGTTGATCTTTATTTTTAGTGAATCTATGATAGGTTTTTGCATTGTGGTTACTGTGCAGCTTACATAAAACATTTTGTAGATATAAAACTTTATTTTAAAGAGATGAAAGCTTACTAAGAAAGAATAAAGAAGTAAACAAATTTTAGAAAAAATCTATGCTTTAATTGCATTAGTCTATCTTGACTTTGTGTTGTGATATATATATATATATCAATATACATATTTTTATATTATCTATATCTTAATATATTGCTGTAGGTATTATTGTTTTTGATGAATGTTGGGCTTCAAACTAGAGTTATGAGTAGATTGCACATGACAATTACAGTATTCATATCTTCTGGGTTGTTATTGAACTTAGTTTTACCAGTGGATTTTAGACCTTCAAATATTTTCTTTTTACGCATTAATGTATTTTCTTCTGGACTGAGGAACTCACGTTAGTTCTTGTAAGATGGGCCTGGTTGTGGTGAATTCTCTCAATTTTAGCTTGTTTGGGAAAGAGTTTATCTCCCCTTCATATCTGAAGGATAGCTTTGCCAGATTTAGTATTGTATGTAAGTTTTTTTTTTCCCTTCAGCACTTTAATAATGTCATCTCCCTCCCTTCTGGCCTGTATGGTTTTTTTGAGATGTCTTTTGCCAGACATATTGAAGCTCCTTCATATGGTATTTGCTTCTTTTCTCTTCCTACCTTTAGGGTCTTCTTTCTTGATCTTTGAGAGTTTAATTATTACATGCCTTGGTATAGGATTATTTGAATCAAATCTGTAACGTTCCTATACCTGGATATTTATATGTTTCTCAAGTTTGGGGAAGTTTTCTATTATTATTTCTTTGAATCAACTTTATATCTCCTACTTTTGCTCAACTCTCTCTTGAACACCAATAATTCTTAGATCTGGTCTTTTGAAAAAATTTCCTGTATATTGTAGATAATATTTGTTCCTTTTTATTCTTTTCTCTTTTTTCTTCTTGAACTGTGCATTTTCAAGAGCCTCTTTGAGCTCAGTGATTCTTTGCTCTGTTTGATCCATTTTGCACTTGAGAGCCTCTAGTGATTTTTCAGTTCAGCAAATGTATTTCTCAGTTCCAATATTTCTGTTTAATTTTTTAAAAGTATTCTAATCTCTTTGTTAAATTTATCTGACAAACTTTAAAATTGCTTTCCTGTGTTATCTTGGCAATCCCTGAATTTTCTTAAAATTGCTATTTTAAATTCTTGGCCAGTGAGTTCACACATATTGCCACATTACCAGGATTAGTCAGTGATTCCTTGCTTTGTGCATTTGAGGAGATCATGTTTTTTTTTTTGTTTGCTATTGTTTCTTTTGGATGTATGTCTATGTCTTTGCAATGAAGATTTAATTGTTTTTCCCAGTCTTCCTGTCTGGCTTGTTTTGGTTTTTGTTGGATATGTTTGCTTAGAGATTCTTTGCAATTTCCCTGTTGAAACTGCATGTTGTGTCATGGGGATTTATTGTGCAAATTATTTTGCCACCCAGGTATTAAACCCATTAATTATTTTTTCTGATCCTCTCCCTCCTCCCATCTTCCACCCTGCCAAAGGCTCCATTGTGTGTTGTTCCCCTCTATGTGTCCATGTGTTCTCATTATTTAGCTCTCACTTATAAGTGAGAGCATGTGATACTTGGTGTTCAGTTCCTGTGTTAGTTTGCTAAGGATAATACATTTTTTAAATGCTTTTTTTTTCCCCTCCATTAGGTTTCTGCCTCCTTTAATGAACTAGACAGAACTTTAAGCTCAGGTTTGCCTCAGTTCATATAAACAAACAGAATGCCTACTCTCCTGAATGGGGGAGGTCCAGAAAAGGATATCATGTCCCAGTGATGTGGGAAGGTTTTCTGGTGGTTTGTGGCCAAGGACCACCGTCCTACAGCAAGGTGCTACAGCAAATCAGCCACTCTGATTTGGCATCTCCTTTGGCTGAGTTACAGAGCAGAGTTTCTGAGGCTCAGAATTATAATCCTGCTTCCTCCCCTTTGTCTATGGCTATTCTCAAGGATATTTATTTCTTCTGGCACTCCTGATGCTTCCCATTGCTTGAAGCAGGAACACACCTCATGCCGGGGAACCAAAGATGGTAGGGAAGCCAGTTGTCTCCCTTGATCTCACTTTTCAGTGTAAAATCTATGCTCTGGGGGAAATTTTCTGTGTGCTTGGTGCTGAGCAGGTTTGGGGGTGGGGAGGCACATCATGGATATGGAAATCAAGTTCTCTTACCATCTGCTTGAAATATTTTTACTTCTCTGTGTTTCTGGGAACTGTCCTTACATTTGAGTTCTTGGATATTGCTGGTGATAATACTGCTGCTGTATATTTGTTTTCTGTGGAGTAGAAAGAAACTAGCTTGCTTCTACATTAATATTTTGGAACTGGAAGGCTCCACATCCTCAATGTAATATTTTAAAATTTATTTTTGTTGTTTTACTATGTCTTCTTTGATAACATTTAATTTATCAATTTCTTAATTTTGTGAAATAAAACATACCTAGGTAATGAGGAAAAGTGCATGAATGTACTGCTTAAAATTATTATGTTTAATAGGAACATTGAAACTTCAGAAGCTTCTTGCATGTCCCATTTTAATCATAATTATTTCTCTTACTATAAACATTTAAATAGGTATTGTCCTAATTTTATTTTAAAGATTTCTTTGGAATATTTATACTTTTATAAAAACATGAATGAAATATCTATATCATATAATATAGTACTATCTCTTAAAGTCCTCAATATAAACAGAATAAACTTTTTTTTGCAACTGTTTTTGTATGTGGTTATCAAAATTTCATTTTTATTTTTCTGTATTCATTTGTTTGAATACACATCAATTTATCTGATTCACTTTGGATAGTCACTTGTGTTGATTTTACTTTATAATTTTTATGAAATGATAGACAAATATTTTTATATGTATCCTTGTTCAAAATGTGCATTATTTTCTCTAGAGCTTTGTTTGCATCTCTGTTGTCTGTGTAGAAGTATCAGCATCACTGAGACCTTGTTACAAATGTACTAAGAATCTATCCAGAGGATATTTGAATCTCAGCTTAAACAGGAACCTTAATAAATATATAGATTAAATATGAGGAACACTGCTCTGTGATACATTCATAGCAGTGAAATTGCTTACTGATAGACTATACATATATTCTATAAGAGTTGATAATGACAGTCTGTTTCACAAAGAGGTTGGATTTAATACTCCCACCAGAAGTGAATGAGTTTCTCTTGTGCTACATTCTCTTCAGCATCTTTAATTATAATAATTTTCAACTTTTGTTAGGCAGGTGAAATATTGATATCTCCCTCTGGTTTATATTTAACTTTTTTTTTGTCTTGGAGTCCATCATATATTTAATTGCAAAGCCAAATTTGTTCAAATCTGTATTATGTTTATCTTATAACTGCATGTTAGTGTAACTTTATCTTTTTGAATGTTATTATTTTTATTTATTTTTGAAGATGTGATTTGAATTGTTTGGTTTTCAAATTCCTTACCTATGATGATCTCTCTGTGGTGAATAGCTGCTTAATAAAAGAATACAATCTATAAAATCAGAAGTATGTTATAGATAAAGGATTAACAAAACATTTTTTGAGATGTGAGCATATATAAAATATAAGAATTTGTGGAGCTAATTTAGAAATATAACTTTTCTAGATTTGCTTTTTTTTCCCACTTATTTTTATCTATGTGAGAGGTTAGGTAGTAAACAGAAGTAGGAAATAAAATTGGCATTAGTTCACAGTTACTCATGGTCAAAGAAGTTATCATAAGCAGGCATTTCACTTAACTTAGAACTTAAATCAAGCATAGATATTATAGATGAAGTTATTCTGAGTTGTTTTGTAGAAAAAGCCACTGAAAGACCTTTTGGGTCACATTTAAGTGATTAGTAATAGTCTATGCATTTTAAAACTTAATTACAAAACATATTTTTGTATACTTTAAAATACTTAATAGTGGAAACAAAGGTCCAAAGATTTGGTTTACTAAAGTGCAAAAAAAATCATCAGTCAATGGAAGTGTTTTATTCTTTAATCACCCTTATAGAAGGATATGCTGACTTATAAAGTTATTGACTGTGACTTCCTTAAATTAAAACATTAAAAGCCACCTTAGCTGATACAACTTAACCAGAAATAGCAGGCTGCTCATCACAAATACCATTCTCTAACATTAGTAAATGAAATCTAGGGCAAGGACAATCATATAAATGCGAAAACAGGTTATGCCAATTATGTAGGAAACAGGAGGGCTCTCTCGTGAATATTTAAATTGTAAAATACTTCAGTTCTCAAGAACTCTCAAACCTTCTGTTTTCCAACTGCCACCTATCTATATCTATACCGTATATATGTATATATTTTATATATGTATGTGAGGTAGAATTCTGATTTTTTTTTCACATAAACAACAGAACTGACTGCTGGAGAGGAGTGTGCAGCAGAGACAGCTGAGTGAAGAACATGGTTCAATAAATTAAGCCTTAGAAATTTTGCTAGGTAGGGTGGCTCCTGCCTATAATCCCAGCACTTTGGGAGGCCGAGGCGGGTGGATCACTTGAGTTCAGGAGTTCGAGACCAGCCTGGACAACATGGTGAAACCCCATCTCTACCAAAAATACAAAAATTAACTGGGCATGGTGGTGTGCATCTGTAGTCCCAGCTACTCAGGAGGCTAAGCCAGGAGAATCGCTTAAATCTGGGAAGTGGAGGTTGCAGTGAGCCAAGATTGTGCTATCGCACTCCAGCCTGGGTGACAAGAGCAAAACTCTGTCTCAAAAAAAAATTTAAAGTTGTCCCATGTAGAAATGGAGTTAAACACATTGTTTGTGCCCTTATGAGTATTTGTGGGGTCTTACAGAAAAAGGAGGCCGGGCACAGTGGTGCATGCCTATAATCCCAGCACTTGGGAGGCTGAGGCGGGCAGATCACCTGAGGTCGGGAGTTTGAGACCAACCTGACCAACATGGAGAAACCCCGTCTCTACTAAAAATACAAAATTATCCGGGCATGGTGGTGCATGCCTGTAATCCCAGCTACTCGGGAGGCTGAGGCAGGAGAATTGCTTGAACCCAGGAGGTGGAGGTTGTGGTGAGCCGAGATCGCGCCATTGCCCTCCAGCCTGGGCAACAAGAGTGAAACTCCGTCTCAAAAAACAAAAACAAAAACAAAAACAAAAACAAAAATTAGCCAGGCATGGTGGCGTGTGCCTGTGGTCCCAGCTACTGGGGAGGCTGAGGTGAGAGGATTGCTTGAGTCCAGGAGGCAGAGGCTGCAGTGTGCCGAGATTGTGCCCCTGCACTCCAGCCTTGGCGACAGACCTGGATCTAATCTCAAAACAAAAAAACAAAACAAAACAACAAAAACAAAAAGGAAATATCCAAGTGAATAATTTTCATAATTTGTTTTGCAAGTCTGTGTAGGTAGAATTCTCTCTTTAATGTCACGTAGTGGTGAAATGAACAGAAATGGACAATTTTTGAATTTTTGGCAAATATGAACCTATAATATTGGGTTAACAACATCAACCATTCCAATATAGCATTTCTCTAACAAACACTGGGATAAGAAAAGTGATAATGATGTTTCAGTTATTCTCATTATGCCTATTTCTGAGTTCAGTATCAAGTTAAATCTTGCTTGATGTGGGCATTTCTCTCCTGAGAATTGTTTCTAAAGGATGCTTCCAATATTTTTTTCTTGCAGATTCGTTATGATGCCTGGCCAGCACCTGTTTAAAAATCTCACATTAATAGAGAAAGATTTTATATATCACTAAACTTAGAATCCCTTCCAGTTCAACAGACTCCAAAAATATCTGCCACATTTGTATTAAGATTATGTGTAGGACTCTGATCTTAATATCCCTATGTTCCATGCTTTTGGATAAAAAGTTTTTGTGGGATTTTAGATTTTTGTTTTGATTTAAAATGTTTTCTTTCACCATTTTACCTGACCCATTCTGCTACACGTGATAATATGTATTATGAATATTTACTTCCCTTTCTAAAGAGGAGATGAATAAAATTGGGGCATTACCCCTTGTCAGCACCTGCAGAGCTGGCCAGATTTCTCAAGCCAAGAGCAGAGTTGAACACTGAAGCAGAGCAGATACACATGTACTGAGTGCACTAACCAAGCAGTTAAGTACAGAAGATGAACTGCCAAAGCCAATCTGCTGCTCCATGTGAAAAGAGGAGCGGAGTCCTAGGACTGAACGATTCAGTTTGTAAGATTTGTCATTACATCAGAAGTGGTGTATATGGGCCAGGCGCAGTGGCTCACGCCTGTAATCCCAGCACTTTGGGAGGCAGAGGTAGGCGGATCACCTGAGGTCGGGAGTTTGAGAGCAGCCTGGCCAACATAGTGAAACCCCGTCTCTACTAAAAATACAAAAATTAGCCAGGTATGGTGGCACAAGCCTGTAGCCCTAGCTGCTGGGGAGGCTGAGGCAGAAGAATTGCTTGAATCCAGGAGGTGGAGGTTGCAGTGAGCCGAGGTCGCCCGACTGCACTCCAGCCTGGGTGATGGAGGCAGAACTTGTCTCAAAAAAAAAAAAAAAAAGTAACTGTCTATGAAGGAATAGAGAGACCAGCATTATTATTAGCAATACTAATAAACAAGTAAATTGGCCAACAGTAATTCAGAAACCACAAACTGATCAGTAGTACAAATAGCTAAGGGTGGAGGTATGTTGCAATGTACAGATGGAATGGTAAGTTGAGAAGCACTTTCTAAATTCTAATTGAAAGGCAGACGTGCTCTAGTGTGGTCAAATATCCAATCATTTTGTAACAGTGGGGCTCACACAGAAACTGCATATTGATATCACCTGGGAAAATTAGAGATAACCCTGAGCCTTGGTGCTAATTAGGTCAAGGATACAGCCTCTGTGTCAAGACTTTTAATTTCCCTACTTCATTTCATTACACAACCAAGGTTAAAATCACTTTTTTATGGTGATCTCTCATCATCCAGAAATAAGAAATGGCAGTTAAAGATAATTTTGACATTCTCTTCATCTTGTTTCCTTATTAGATTTAGAAATCTAATTTTTCAGTTATAGATTAAAAGTCCAGTGCTAGCTATGAAACATATTGTTTACCACTAATTTACTTACGTGAAGAATGATTCCGTTAATTGAATTTATACAGAATCTGGAGTCAATGTGGATTTGAGAGCAGCTTTTGCTGCAAAATTTTGGGCAAGTCATTTACCATTTTGCCTTTGTTTCCTAATAGGGAAAGGATGCTGAGAATAATACCAAGCCTGACTTCCTTATGGGGTAATTGTTGAATTTTATAAAATATATGCCTGTAAAAGTGCTACATAATCTGCAGACTTCCATAAAACATGTGTTATGATTACTGTTTATACCAACATCATCTTTATGACTAATCAGCTTTTATTTTGAAATTGGAGTTACATTTATTTTCTCTAAAAATATTAATCATTATTATAGTAATTTGTTTTTGAGAAGGACTTTCACTCTTTTTGCCCAGGCTGGAGTGCAATGGTGCGATCTCAGCTCACTGCAACCTCTGCCTCCTGATTTCAAGTGATTGTCCTGCCTCAGCCTCCCAAGTAGCTGAGACTACAGGTGCGCACCACCACGCCCAGCTAATTTTGTTTTTTTTTTTTTTTTTTTTTTCAGTAGAGACAGGGTTTCACGATGTTGACCAGGCTGGTTTCGAACTCCTGACCTCGTGATCCGCTCACCTTGGCCTCCCAAAATGCTGGGATTACAGGCCTGAGCCACCGTGCCCTGCCTGAATTTCTTTTTTTTTTTTTTTAAACATCTAGTTTAGTGCATTTTATAAAAAGAAAGTTATATTTGTAAGGAAAGCTCATATTTTAAACATCAAATGTATGAGTTAAAATTCACATGCAATAATATTTACAGCAATAAAGTTATGGAGCATTTTTTGTTGTGTTTACTCAGATTGTATACCTGAAATATGTAACCAACCTGTATTAATTTTCTCTCTTTCTCCTACTATTTCTATCTGCCCAGAAAATTTTTTCTATTGCAATTTTTCCCATCCCCAAGCAACCACTGATTAGAGATACTTAGTTTTCTCTATTTTAGAATTTATAGAAATGGAAATATATAGTATGCATTGATTTGTATCTGGCTTATTTTGCTCAGCATAATGTCTGTAAATTCATCTGTGTTGTGGTATGCATGAATAGTTTGCTCCATTTTATTATTATATATTACTCTATTGTACTAATAAACCAGAATAGTCTTTCAATTCACCTTTCTGTGAATATTTAGATTGTTTTCAAAGTTTTTTTTTTCTATTTTGCATTAGGCTATTATGAACAATCGTTTGCAAGTCTTTGTGGACATATGTTTTTCTTGTGTCTTATAAATTCCTTTCGAAATCTCTGGGTTATGTGTTACATGCATATTTAAACTTTAAAACAAACTACCAAACTGTCAAAACAGTTGTGCCAGTTTATATTCCTATCCGCAATATATTAGAGCTCCAAGTGCTGAGTGTCTCTTAAAGGTTTTCCAATATTAGAGAAGTTGTATTATTATGAATTTATAAGAATTCTTTATATATTCTCAATATAAATACTTTGATATATAATGGATATAATTATTTTCATTCGATGGCTTGCCTTTTTACTTTGCTGAAAATGTTTTTATAAGATGACAGAAATTTTCTTTTTTATCAAATAAAATTTGTGAGAACGATTTTAAGTATGAATTTAAAGGGTTTAGTAGCTACAAAGTGATTCAGATTTTCTATTTCACCTTCAGGTGTGGTAAACTGTTCTCAAGGATTTCACCTAATATATTAAGTTGTAGCATTTATTGACATAAAGTTGTTCAGAGTGTTTCTTCATCTTCTTTTATTGTCTGGAGAAATTGTTGTGACAAACACATTTTCACTTCAGATACTGGCAAATTTTGTATCTGTTCTTTTTTATTGTTCTTGGCTATGGATTATGATTTTACTAAGAGTTCTTTATTTTTCATGTATTATTTATTTCATTTAAGTCTACTCTTATGTTCATTACTTTTCCTCTATTTAGACAACTGAATTTCAGTTTTTTTCTGATATGTATATTAAAATCTAAAAACTTTGCACTAAGTACTACTTTCTATATCTCACACATTTCAAAATATTGTGTCTACTTTCATGTAATTTGTTACGTTGTGTTTTCATGTAATTTGTTATGTTGTGTTTTATAATCAGTTTGACGTTTTTAATACCTTTGTGATTTCTTTTTTGACTCATATCTTTAGAAGTGTGTCATTTAATTTCCAAATGAGGGAACTTTTAGATACCCGTTACTGATTTCTAATTAAATGTCTTTTCAGTCAAAAGTTACACTATAATAAGATTGTACTTCTTTTAAACAAACAAACAAACAAAGTTTGTTTTTGGTAAAAGTTCTGTGTGCACTTAAATACATTGTGTAATTGGCAGCTATTAGGTGTATTATTACTTAAAAGTTAATTTGAGCAATTTGGTTGCATTTTTCATATAATTTATATACTTACTATTTTTTTTCCTATTTGTTCTATCAATTACTGGGAAAGTTGCATTAAAATGCCTGTGTATTTAGATTTGAGAAAATTGAATTATCATAAGGAGTCCTGGATATAATTTTAAAGAGTCGGAAAACATTAAATGCCATTTGAATGTGTATGTTTTGAGTTTTAGTTATAGAAAAAAATATGTTTAAATGGTTAGGTCCAATAAAAATAGTGCATATATGTGTACATACACACACACACACACATATATATATATTCTAGGGTAACACAGTATGGATATGTATATATATTCCATATATATCTACTCTATAATATATATATATCTTATATATATGTCTTATATATACATCATATATATATATATATATATATATATATATATATATGTCTTATTATAGGCATGAGTGGTGGCTCATGCCTGAAATTCTAGCACTTTGAGAGGCTGAAGCAGGCAGATCGCCTGAGGTCAGAAGTTGAAGACCAGCCTGACCAACATGGTGAAACCCCATCTTTACTAAAAACTATTAGCCAGGTTCAGTGGTGGGCAACTGTAGTCCCAGCTGCTCAGAAGGCTAAGGCAGAAGAATCGCTTGAACCTAGGAGGGGGAGGTTGCAGTGAGTGGTGATGATGCCACTGCACCCCTGCCTGAGTGACAAAGTGAAACTCTTGTCTCAAAAATAATAATGATTATAAATAAAAAGAATAAGAAATCTCAACTCTTCAACATAGTTCAAATTTAGCATGCTTTGATGAAGTGGGATGTACAGCTAGTCACCATATTCTCTTGCTCTTCAAATAAAATCCAAACTCCTGCCCACCCCTTGACCCCATCTCCTACCATCTTCTCCTCCCTCACCCTGTTCAAACCACACTGCTCTCCTGGCTTTTCCTGAACACTCTTGGCTTCAGCCTTCCCCTGCCCTGGATTCTCTGCTCTTCCTGGTCCCTCTACTGAGATCATCATACCAGGCCCCGACCATTACCACCTGATCCGAGATTATTGTATCTGTTTGTTCACTTGTATATTATTCATCTTCCCTCCTAGGATGTCAGCCTTCAGATGGGCAGGAACAGTGTCTGCCTGGCTCACTCTTGAATCCCCACGATCTAGTACACAGCCTGGTGCACAGCAGGAACCAAATACATTATTTCTTTGATTGAAGGAATACATGAGGAAGATTTCCAACAACAGTGGCTAAAATCAAAGTGTAATTCTTACTGCTAAACTAAGCACCATCTCAACTTAATATGGGGAATCATTGGCAGATGGGGATGGAGGTCGAACAGAAATTAGAGCCAACAAGATCTTAAGGAAGCTATGTTAATAGTGCCACAAAGCAAATAAAGTGTTAAATTAAGGTAGGAAATGGAGAATAAAAAACATGTGACACATGTTATATTTGCAAAATAATATTAGACTGGCTTAATAATAAATAACTGAGGCAGATGTGTTGAAAGTCTTGATATTGACGAACAGGTTTTTAATGCATACTACTGTGACAGATTCCAGACTACTTAGAGAAGAGGGAAAAGCAGGTTATGGGAGCCAATGCTAACAAGGTAGCAGCTCATTAAGGTTGTGGTATCTGTTGCAGCTATTGAATAAGATTCCAATTAGGCAACCCCTTCTCACTGAGTAGTAAATGTGGGGTTGTAGATATAGATTGAAGACGGAATAAAGTTCAGGAAGATTTTATATACACACACACACTATATATATATATATATTCACAGATATGCCTCTGTGTATATGCCTCTGTATGTTTACATATATGTATATTTATATGTACATATATATAATAAACATGTTTGTGTGTATATATACACACGCATACATATGTATGTATATGTCACTGAGGATACTGGGCTCATCCAGTATTAGAGAATTTTCAGAAAGAGATGAGTAGGCTAGGATAGAGTTCAGTTGTGAAATCTAAGGGCACAGGACCTTCAAAATGAAGAGGACCAGTAGGAGACAAATTCTACATTGTCAAGTAAGAAGAAGGGTAAAATGAGGCCTCTGGTATTGCGTTTAAAATCTGATTGGTTATCTGATAAGGCAGTCATTATTTGAGGAAATAAGCCTTCTTCACCATGTATTTCAATCTTCTTGTTTCATTAGTTCTCTTGTCAGTTAGCAGAGCAAGCTCCTCAATGTAGAAGGGAATTCCTTAGCAAGTGACCACTGTAGCTACTGAAGTGTGTTTGAAAAGCCTTGGCAACTCTGTCAGAGAGGAATGTCTACAAATTGCAGAATGGAGTAAGACATAAGCAGGGCAATATTACATTTATGCACGATGCTTTTTTATATGGTATTGATAAACAGTAAGTAAAATGGGTGCATGTATGTGTGCATTTGTGTGTGTGTATTTTATAACCATGCAGGTATATAGCACACAGTTTATAAAAGCCATCATGCAGTTCCCTTGGCCTTTGGTAATTTACCCTAAATGAGAAATGTTGACAGGCCACATTTACGAAGTAACAAAATGAAGCAATAGGTTAGATATTAATTAGTCAGACTTTTATTTTACAAATAAGATATGTAAAGGTCAGAACATTTTATTAAAACATAGCTAATTAATAAATTATCAAGACTAAGATGTTGGATTTTTTCCACTTTTATTTCATTGCTTTTTATTTTAATTATGTTAAATATAGCCTGAGAGGAAAGCAGTTGAATCCCTGATGCCTCTCCAAATAGTTTCTGATAAACTAAACATGGCTAAGTGGTATTTAAAAACATTTAAAATGATATTTATATTTACTAAGTGACACCTGAAATCAGATAGTTTGTTAGGAGGCAGAGCAAAATAGCCTAGGGAAGAGTAGATATCTGTCTCCAAGGAAATATCAGCCACAGGAACGAAACTAGAGAATCAAACTGTGATTTTAAATGAAAGTGAAACAAGAACTTACAGCTTTTATGTTATTTAGTATCACTGAGCAATCTTTTTAGGGTTTTATTTCAGTCCCATATCTATCTGTTGTATAATTTCAGAAACAGATTCCACGGCAATTTAGATTAAGAGAAATTATGTGTTGAAGGTAACTACCTGGATATTTTAGGATGTTAAACATACCTGAACAAAACTATTTTTTCCCTTAAAACATCCAACATGTGCATTTTTTAGAGTTTTCCATTAAAATATATGCATATATAAAATTAAGGTATTTCTACACATTTAACATAATTACCTTGCTCTAATTATTAAACACTAAATTTCAACATTCCAAATTTAAAAAATTGCTCATTCTAAAAACAGATCAATGTTAGGTATCTACATTGCATTTTGGATTATGTATGAAATTAATATCTTGTTATCTGATTCATTCACCCTATCTCCAAATTCTTCCAAAGAGTATTTGAATTAGCGTACGTAAAAGGAGATGGAACAGTAAATGAAATTAAATGAAAACGATTTAATGCAGAAAAATAAGAAAATAAATGAAACATATGTGCCAAAGGTGACAAATAATATTCAGATACATGAGATGTCTATGAAAATATATAAACAACTTGGACATCCTAGTAAGGATATGAGATTAATATTTTTAACGCATGTAGAGTTTCATTTTTACTTTTTCCTCCATTTTACATATAGGAAATGGAGGCCTCTGTGGCAGAGTAATAGGAAAGGATTTAAATTACAGCGAGCTTGACACCAAAACCACTGCTTCTCCCTCTGTAATATGGTGACCGCTCCTCTCCCCTACTCTTCTCAGTAGCTTTAACGTGACTTCTCTTAATATATAATACCTACTGATTCATAAAGTTCAATGTTTATTAATGTCACATTTGCTGAAGACATTTTTGGAAACTTATTTTAACCCCTCCATTATCTTAGAGTACTAGGACCTCAGAAAACTGAAGCTAAGAACTTGAAAAATGACATGCTAAATATCATGTGGCTAGATAATAATTGAAGAATATTTCTCAAACTTTGAATCCTGAGGAAAGCAGCGTATTAACTGAGGCAAAATCACAAATATCAACAATCTGATAGTCAGCTGGCATATTCGATGTATGAGGCCACTTGATACCATATGGTTGTGGGTGTTCAGTGAAACACACAGGCATGTAGATCAGAAAATGCCTACTCTTGTAAAGCTGACTTCAAACATTTGTTGCATGAAATGATGGCAGAGACAGTAGAAAGAAAAAGGAAGACAGGTAGTCATTCTAGTTGAATTTAGATAATATAGGTAAGACTATTTGTCTGCAGAATGATATCTGAAAGGCTCATGCCTGTAATCGCAGCACTTTGGGAGGCCGAGGTGGGTGTATCACGAGGTCAGGAGGTGGAGACCATCCTGCCTAACACGGTGAAACCCCGTCTCTACTAAAAATACAAAAAATTAGCCGGGCGTGGTGGCGGGCGCCTGTAGTCCCAGCTACTCGGGAGGCTGAGGCAGGAGAATGGCGTGAACCTGGGAGGCGGAGCTTGCAGTGAGCCGAGATGGTGCCACTGCACTCCAGCTTGGGTGACAGAGCAAGACTCCGTCTCAAAAACAAACAAACAAACAAAAACAAACAAACAACAACAACAACAACAAAAAATTAGCCTGTCATAGTGGCGGGCGCCTGTAGTCCCAGCTGCTCCTCGGGAGGCTGAGACAGGAGAATGGTGTGAACCTGGGAGGCGGAGCTTGCAGTGAGCCCAGATCGCGCCACTGCACTCCAGCCTGGGCGACAGAGGGAGACTCGGTCTCAAAAATATAAATAAATAAATAAATAAATAATAATGCCTGGCTACCTATATCTAAATAGCTATTATCCACTCCCTCTCATTCTTCCATAGTATAGAAAATTAACAGAAATAGTTCAGAACATTTTACTGAATGCCCATATAGCTTTCCCTGCTCTTGGATGAAGTTTTCTATTATTAACCAGGTTTCCATTACACACACATCCACACACTCCTTTTTCTACACATTATCCGCCTTGTGGAAGTGACATATTTAGTGTTCAGAGGTTGCACATTTTGAGACATACACTTTAATTTTTTAAATGCCCTTTATTGAATTATAAAACCAATTTGCTAATTAAAGAGAGTAAAGCTGCATCCAAATTGGCTGTGTACAAGGCACAGCATTAAGAAAGTAATTATAGATCTCTATTCCCCCAATTACTCTCATTCAACCTCTTGAACCACATCAAATTTGCTTTAATTCATCATCATCTTACAACCTAGGCACACAGATTTCCTTCAACTGGAGATGTCTTTTCCTTTGCCAAGACCACTGCTTTATTTGTGGTCCCTTCTCATTACTCCTCGCAGAGATGAACACAATTGTAAAGTCTCCCATTTCTGGAAACATGCCTCTTACTACTATTCTTTTCAAGAAAGTTTTGGACTCCACTCAGTGACTAAATTTTTGTACGTTATTGAGTAAAAAAGGCTTCTTAAAGAAGAAAATTCAAGAAAATTCAATCTACCATTAACTCTTTTTGAGATAGGAACAGAGAATACTGCATACAATCTGTGTAATGATTCCTTAAAATTCTCATTTTGAACACTGTAATGCTTATTTTTATGTGTCAACTTGACTGGCCAAGGAATGCACATTTTAAGCATTATTTCTACGTGTCTATAAGGGTGTTTCTCGATCATACGAACATTTGAATAGGTGGACTTTGTAAAGTAGATTGCCCTCCCCATTGTAAGTGGAAATCATCTAATCCAGTAAGGGCCTGAATAGCACAAAAGGCAGAGGAATTCATCTGTTTGCTTGAGTTGGGGCATGGATATTCCCCTGCCTTCTGTACTCTTGGTTCTCTGCCCTTCAGACCCAGACTGAAATATCTACTGTTGGCTTTTCTTGTTCTCAGGCCTTTGGCTCAGACTGAATTTCACCATCAGCTTTTATGGGTCTCCAGCTTGCAGGCGACAGATCGTGGAACTTTTAACCTCCTTAGTTATGTGAGCCAATTGCTGATAATAAATCTTTTCATATATATGTCCTGTAGGTTCTGTTTCTCTAGACAACTCTAATATTATAGAAATAGCTAATGAATACGGTAAGATGAAACTATCATGGTCTTGAGTTTTAATATACTTACAAAAATAAATAACATATAAAAATAATGGAAATAAAGCTCCCTTTCTGGCTAGGATGCAAAAAGCCAGAAAGTGCATCAATCTCATCTTAACATCAAGAAAAACTCAAATAATAATGCTGTCTCTCTTCAACATGGCAGTGTTTTCTACATAAAAATAAAAAGTCACCAATAGAACACTAGAACTAATAAATGAGCTTATTAAGTTAATAGGATACAAGGTTCATATACAAAAGTAATTTTATATTAGCAATGAAAAACTAGAAATTGAATTTTTAAGAACTATTTAAAATAGCTGCAAAAGACTTAAAATACCTAGGTATAAATCCAACACAATATTCGCAAGATATGTTGCTGAAAACTAAAAAACACAGATGAATAAAAACAGACCTATAAAAATGAAAATGTATGATGGGGTTATGGATTGGAGAAAATATAGTTAAAATGTCAATTCTCCTTAAATGGATCTATGAATTCAAATTTGGTTGTGTTGATTTTCTTTATTGTTTTCCTATATTTCTTTCCATCTATTTTCCTTCTGATATTAATAAATTTCTTCTGCTAGTCTTTGATTTAGGTTGCTCTTGATTTCCTACTTTTTATAAATAATTTAAAAATTATATTTTATAATATTTTTTAACTTTTAAGTTCAAGTTAATGTGCAAGTTAGTTATATAGGTAAAATCATGTCATGGGGGTTTGTTGTACAGATTATTACATTACCCAGGTCCTAAGCCTAGTAATCAGTTATTTTTTCTGATCCTCTCCCTTCTTCCACCCTTCACCCTTCAGTAGGTCTCTATATCTGTTGTTCCCCTATATGTGTCTATGTGTTCTTATTATTTAACTAAAACTTATAAGTGAGAAGATGTGTTATTTGGTTTTCTGTTCCTGCATTAGTTTGCTACGTATAATGGCCTCCAGCTCCATCCATGTTCCTACAAAGGACATGATCTCATTCTTTTTTATGGTTGCATAGTATTCTATGGCATATATTTACCGTGTTTTCTTTTTTCGTCACTCTGTCAAAGATCAGATTGTTGTTGGTGTGTGTTTTTATTTCTGGGCTCTCTATTCTGTTCCATTGGTCTATGTGTCTGTTTTGGTTACTATAGTCCTGTTTTGCTGTTTTGGTTACTATAGTCCTGTAGTATAGTTTGAAGTTGTATAGCATGATGCCTCCAGCTTTGCTATTTTTGCTTAGGATTGCCTTAGCTATTTGGGCTCTTTTGATGGTTCCATATGAATTTTAAAATAGTTTTTTCTAGTTATTTTACAATAGTTTTTTCTAGTTATGTGAGGAATGTAATTGGTAGCTTGATATAAATAGCATTGAATCTATAAATTGCTTTGGGGAATGTGGCAATTTTAACAATATTAATTCATATCCATGAGCATGGAAGATTTTTCCATTTGTTTATGCCATCTCTAATTTCTCTCAGCAGTGTTTTGTAGCTCTCCTTATAGAGATCTTTCACCTTCCTGGTTAGCTGTATTGTGAGATAGTTTATTCTTTTTGTGGCAATTGTAAATAGGATTAAATTCCTAATTTGGCTCTCGGCTTGATGGGTTTTTGTTTATGGGAATGCTAGTGATTTTTGTACACTGATTTTGTATCCTGAGATATTGCTGAAGTTGTTTATCAGCTTAAGGAGCTTTTGGGCCAAGACTATGGGGTTTTCTAGATTCTATATAGAATCATAGTCTGCAAACAGGGATACTTTGACTTCCTCTTTTCCTATTTGGGTGCCCTTTATTTCTTTCCCCTGCCTGATTGATCTGGCCAGGACTTTCAATTTCATGTTGAATAGGAGTGTTGAGATGGGACATCCTTGTCTTATGGCAGTTTTCAAAGGGAATGCTTCCAGCTTTTGTCCATTCAGTGAGACATTGGCTATGGGTTTGTCATAGATGACTCTTATTATTTTGAGGTATTTTCAAGCTACCAATTACATTCCTCACATAACTAGAAAAAACTATTTTAAAATAACTAGAAAAAGCTATTTTAAAATTCATATGGAACCAACAAAGGAGCCCAAATACCTAAGGCAATCCTAAGCAAAAATAACAAAGCTGGAGGCATCATGCTACACAACTTCAATATTTAGTTTATTGAGAGTTTTTAACATGGTGTTAAATTTTATTGAAACCATTTTCTGTGTTTATTGAGATAAACATGTGATTTTCCTCTTTAGTTCTGTTTATGTGATTAATCACATTTATTGATTTGCAGATATTGAACCAATCTTGCATCCCAGGGATAAAGCCTACTTGACTGTGGTAAATGAGCTTTTTGATGTGCTCCTGGATTTGGCTTGTCAGTATTTTATTGCAGATTTTTGCATCAGTGTTCATCAAAGATATTGGTCTGAAGTTTTCTTTCTTTGTTATGTCTCTGCCAGGTTTTGGTATGAGGATGATGCTGGTCTCATAGAGTAAGTTAGGCAGGAATCCCTTCTCCTCAAATTTTTGGAATAGTTTCAGTAGAAATGGTACCAGCTCCTCTTTGTACCTCTTGGAGAATTTGGCTGTGAATTTGTTTGGTCCTGAATTCTTTTTTTTTTTTTTTTTTTTGGTTGGTAAGCTATTTATTACTTATTTAATTTTGGAGCTTGTTATTGGTCTTTTCAGATATCCAATTTCTTCCTGGTTCAGCCCGGGTAGGGTGTGTGTGTTCAGGAATTCATTTATTTCTTCTAAATTTTCTAGTTCATGTGCATAGCAGTGTTCATAATATTCTTTGGTGGTTATATCAGTGGTAATATCCTCATTGTCATTTCTAATTATGTTTATTTAGATATTGTCTCTTTTCTTCTCCATTAGTCTAGCTAGTGGTCTATTTTATTAATTTTTTTCAAAAAACTAACTCCCAGATTCATCAATCTTTTAAATGGTTATTTATGTCTCAGTCTTCTTAAGTTCAGCTCTGATTTTGGTTATTTCTTGTCTTCTTTTAGCTTTGGGGTTGGTTTTCTCTTGGTTCTGAAGTTCTTATTTCTGAAGTTTAGTTTCAAAGAACACCTTGATTTCTACCTTAATTTCATTATTTACCCGGAAGTCATTCAGGAGCAGGTTACTTAATTTCCATGTTATTGTATGGTTTTGAGCAAATTTCTCAGTCTCAATGTATAATTTGTTTGTGCTGTGGTCTGAGAAAGCGGTTTTTATGATTTTAGTTCTTAAGCATTTGCTGAAGACTGTTTTGTGTCTAATTATGTGGTTAATTTTAGAGTATTTGCCATGTGGCAGTGAGAAGAATGTATATTCTCTTGCTTTGGGGTGGAGAATTCTGTAGATGTCTATCAGGTCCATTTAATCCAGTGTTGGGTTTAGGTCCTGAATATCTTTGTTAATTCTCTGCCTTAATTATCTGTCTGATACTATTAGTGTAGTGCTTAAGTCTCCCACTATCATTGTGTAGGAGTCTAAGTCTCTTTGAAGTTCTTGCTTTATGAATCTGGATGCTCCTGTATAGGGTGCATATTTATTTAGGATAGTTAGGTCTTGTTATTGAATTGAACCCTTTACCATAATGCAATGTCCTTCTTTGTCTTTTTTTATATTTGTTGGTTTAAAGACTGTTTTGTCTGAAATTAGAATTGCAACCCCTACTTTTATCTGTTTTCCATTTGTTTGGTACCTTTTTTTCATCCCTTTATTTTCAACATATGGGTGTCATTATATGTGAGATGAGTCTCTCAGAGACAGCATAACCTTGGGTCTTCGTTTTTTATCCAGCTTGCCAGTCTGTGCCTTTTAATTGAGACACTTAGCCTGTTTACATTCAAGGTTAGTATTGATATATGTGGATTTGATCTTGTCATCATGATGTTAGCTGGCTGTTATGCAGAATTGTTTGTGTGGTTGCTTTATAGTGTCATTAGTCTGTGTACTTAAATATGTTTTTGTAGTGGCTGGTAATGGTCTTTTCCATATTTAGTGCTTCCTTTAGGAGCTGTTGTAAAGTAGGTCTGGTGGTAACAAATTAACTCAGCATTTGCTTCTCTGAAAAGGATCTTATTTCTCCTTTGCTTATGAAGCTTAGTTTGGCCACCTATGAAATTCTTGTTTGGAATTTCTTTTCTTTAAGACTGCTGAATATTGGCTCCCAAACTCTTCTTGATTGTAGGGTTCCTGATGAGAGGTCTGATGTAGTCTGATGGACTTCCCTTTGCAGGTGACCTAACCTTTCTCTATAGCTGCCTTTAACATTTCTTTTTTTCATTTCAACTTTGGGAACCTGATGATTATGTATTTGGGGATGATCTTCCTGGAAAGCATCTTACTAGAATTTTCTGTATTTCCTGAATTGAAATGTTGGCTTCTCTACTTAGGTTGGGGAAGTTCTCATGGATAATATACTGAAATATGTTTTTCAAGTTGCTTCCATTCTCCTCATCTTTCTCAGGGATACCAATGAGTCATAGATTTGGTCTCTTTACATAATTCCATATTTCTCAGAGGTTTTGCTCATTCCTTTTCATTCTTTTTTCTCTATTCTTTCTCACTGTGTTATTTCAGAATGCCCATCTTCAAGCTCTGAGATTCTTTTCTCAGCTTGGTTTATTCTGCTGTTAACATTTGTGATTACATTATGAAATTTTTGTAGTGTGTTTTTCAGCTCAGGTAAGTTATGTTCTTTTTTATGTTGGCTATTTTGTCTGTCAGCTACCATATTGTTTTATTGTGATTCTCAGCTTCCTTGGATTGGGTTTCAAAATACTCCTACATCTCAATGATCTTCATTCCTATCCATATTCTGAATTCTATTTCTGTCATTTCAGCCATCTCAGCCTGGTTTAGAACCCTTGCTGAAGAGGTAGCACAGTCACTTGGAGGAAAGATAGCACTCTGGCTTTTTAGTTGTCAGAATTATTGCACTGGTTCTTTCTTATCTTTGTGAGCTGGTATTCTTTCCATTTTGAAGTTGGTGTCCTTGGATAAGTTTTATTTTCTTTTATCCTATTGGATGACCTTGGGGGTTTGATTGTGGTAAAAGGTGGGTTCAGTTGACTGACTTTGTTTCTGGAAGTTATTAGGGGGCCAAGACTTACCTTCCAACTCCTGGACTGTGTGCACGAACTCTGGGGGAATTGTATCGGGCCCCAACTTTGTTCTCTTGCTCCTCAAGGTTAGGAATATACTGCGTTGGTAGCAGCAAGGTGCTCTCATAACACTGCCATATGGACATGGCAATGGGATCTGTCCTTGTTTGCACATGCCAGCAGCAGTGGTGGTGGCAGCAGCAGTGCAATGAGTGCATGATTGCCAGCTGCCAGCAGAGTGCTAGCTGGTGCCAGAGTTTCTGCATTCCTGTGGGCATTCACAGAAGTGGCAGGGGCAGCACAGTTGGGGAGAATAGGGGCTCCCTGCTGGTGACTGTGTACCTGATTGTGCTGGTGGTGGTGTTAGCAAAGAAGCAGGGCATGGGCGGGTGCAGGTCTCTGTGCACACTCTGTGGTTGCTCAGGGTGAGGGAGAGTCCACTGTTCTCCATGCCTACTTTCACTCTGGTGGCAGTGTTGGCATAGGGGTAGGATGCTGGTGAGGATGGTGCTGGAGGGCTCTGTGCCCCCAAAGCTTCAACTGCAATGGCCATATGGCAGGGGAGAAGGGTTCATGTGCACTCCCGCCAGCAGGCAGGGGATATGTGCACAAACGTGCTGGCAGGGCAGGGAAGGCAAAATCCACATGAAATTGCAAAGCAATGTGGAATGTGGCCATGGGCCCAGAAGAAGCAGTGGGGAAAGGAAGTGGGCAGGCTGATGGATGGCCATGTGGGCTGACCCACTGGAGCTCCCTATTGGTCAGGCATGATCTACCAGTGCAGGAGCTATGATGTGAGCTCCCAGGGCACCTGAGGCTGCACTTCAAGGAGGCATGGCCAGACTGGGGTCCTGGGAGAGGCGAGCAGACCAAGGGGTGCTCAGGTAGGACTGGACCCATCTGATCTGATAAGTAAGACTTCCTGGCAGAGTTCAAGTCTTACAGTTCCTCTAGGGCCAAAGTCTCCCATGGGAACAAGTCGAACCTGGAGGGATGGGTGTCACTGCCCGTGCTCTGCTGTAGATGATCTTGTACCAAACTCTTTGGGCTCTGCATAGGCTGGTGTGCTGCCCCTACCACTCACTTCCTGCCCCTATCACTCACTTCCTGCCAACTCAAGTGTCTGTGATGGTTGAGGGGTCCCCTCCTGCCAAGACTCCAGAGGCCCATGGTGAGAGGAGGTTGCTCCTTGCCAGTTCAACTCATTCATTCCCTCAGAGTAACTGGGGCCCAGGAATGAGTCCTGGTGTTCACTAGCCCAGTGCAGGGTTCCCATCTTCTTTCCCCTTCATCTAAGCTTCTGTGTATTCCCTCCATCCACTCTTAGCGCTTTTCCTCTGAAGATCTGTTAGGAGTGTGCCAGTTGTCCCAGCCTCTACCCTCGGTAGTGGCTGTTCACTTTGCTGTATCTAGTTAGCCATCTTTCCCAAATCCCCCATTTTCTACTTTTGTAACTTTTAATGTGGAAAGTTAACTTATTGATTTGAAGTATTTATTCTTTTTTGATATAGACATTCAGAGCTACAAATATCTCTGTGAGAACTGCTTTAATTGCCTCTCAAAAGCTTTGGGTTTTTTATTACTTTCATTTATCTCAAAATATTTTCTAATTTCCCTTATAATTTCTTCTTTGACTCATTATTCATCAGTGTTTTGATTAATTTTGTCATATTAGTAAATTTCTTAAGTATTCTTCTATTATTTCTAATTTTATCTACCTGGGTCAGAAAAATAAGTTTTATGATTTGAATTCGTTTACGTTTACTGTGAATTGTTTATGGCTTAATGTATGATATATAGAAAATTCCATGTACACCTGAGAATAATGTGTATTAGGTGTTGTTGGGTAAAGTGTTCTATATGTTAGGTCTAGTTCATTTATAATGTTAACGTCTTCCATTCTGTTACTGATTTTCTGGCTAGGTGTCCTATCTGTTATTGAAAGTAGGGTATTAAAATCTCCAACTATTATTGCACAATCACCTATTTCTCTCTTCAATTCTGTCAGTGTTTTCCTCACATATTTTGTGGCTTTGATAGGTACACATATATTTCTTTAGATATTATGACTTCCAGATAAATTTATTTATTTATTATTAAATATCCTTCTTTGCATCTAATAAAAATTTTTGTCTTAAAGTTTATTGGGTCTGATATTAGTATAATCCTGTTAACTCTCTTTGGTTATTGTTTGCAGGGTGTATATTTCTCATCCCATTACTTTTAACTTATTTGTGTCTTTGTATCTTAAGTGCATAAATTATAGCCAGGATACAGTTGGAGCATCTTTTTTTCTTAATCTAGTCAGCCAATGACTGACTTTTGATTAGAAGGTTTAATCCATTTGCTGTAATCATTAATAAAGTATCAATTACATTGGCTATTTGCTGTTTTACTTTTGGCCTCATGTCTTTTTTGTTTTCCTATATGCCCATTACTGCCTTCTTTTAGTTAAACATGTTTTTTTTCAGTGTGCCATTTTAATTCTCCTGTCATTTCTTTTACCATATATTTTAATGATTGCCATGGAGATTACCATTAATAATTTATAACAATCTAGTTTTAGTTAATACCAACTTCATTTTAATTGTAGCAAGAACTTCAATCCTTCTTTTTTATTATTGTCATGGAAATTATATACTTATTCATTATCAGCCCATCAACATAATTTTATAATTATTGGTTTATGCAGATTGATTTTAATCTGATAAGAAAAGAAATGAATTACAAAAAAGTACTTAATTATCTTTAAATTTATGTATGTAGTTTACATTTTTACCAGTGGTATTAATTTATTTTCTATGGATACAAGTTACTGTCTAGCATCCTTCATTTTACCCTGAAGTTGTCTCTTTAATATTTATTGTAGGGAAAGTCTGCCATGGACAAATTCTTTTAGATTTGTGTATATGAAATTATCTTAATTTTTCCCTTTAAAATATGAATTTTATAACAGTTGTAGATTTATAGAAAAATGTGAAGATGGTACATAAATTTCCCATATACTTACACCCAGTTTTTCATATTACTATCTGATAGTAGTAAAGTACACTTCTAAAATGTGCTCCAATTGGGATGTTTATAATGTTATTCACATGATTGTAATGGAATCACAGATTGGGGGCAGAAAAGAACAGAGATAAAATGTCATTTTTATCACATTTTATCAAGGGAAGCTATTATTAACATGACTTACCACTATTAATGTTAACAATAATCATGTGGCTGAGGGTATTTGTCAAACTTCTCCACTATGAAGTTACTTCACCCCAACATTCTACCTTTCTATACTCTTTGGAAATAAGTCTGTATGTGTAGCCTATAATTAGGGAGTGGGAAATTAGGCTCTACTTCTGTGAGAATGGAGTATCTACCTAAATTACGTGGAAATGTAGTGCATAAGATATTTAATACTTCCCATTTACTTATTTTTTAATCATTTTTCTATCATTATGTCTTAAAGTTTATTTATTTGATAATTCAATACTAATTTAGTTGTTTTGTCACTCAAATTGTTCCAACTTTGGCTATTGGGAACTTTTTCAGTTGACTCCCATGTCCCTTTGGCATAATCGTCGTGTGTGTGTGTGTGTGTGGTGTGTGTGTGTGTGTGTTAAACACTTCTCGGCTCTCTGACATTACAAAATGTTTTATTTAGCTTCATCTTGTATAGTTATTGACCCAGTTCTAGTATTATCCATTTCTCCAAGCAGTCTCTTTTGTTGCTGAAGAATAACTTTGCTGGGCTTAGAATTATTGGTTTACTGTCATTTTCTTTGAACATTTTAAATAGGTAATTCTTCAGCCTTTTGTACTTCATGATATCTGATTTTAAAAATCTATTCATCTTATTACACTTTCCTTGTATGTAACAAGTTACTTCTATCTTCCTACTTTCAAAATTCTCTACCTTTGGCTATTGACAATTTGTTAATGATATATCTGTGTGTGGATTTCTTTGGTTGTATTCTATTTGGAGTTTATTGTGCTTCTTGGAAGGGCACACAAATGTTTTTTACCAAATGTTGGAAGTTTTGAGGAACCATTAATTCAAGTACTTTTTCTGTCGCTTTCTCTCTCTCCTTTTCTTCTGAGACTTTCATTATGTGTCTGTTGAGATGCTCAATGGTGTCTCATATGTCTCGAATACTCTTATTTTTTCTTCATTCTGCTCTTCAGACTGTATGACCTCAATTGACCTATATTCAAGTTCAAGATTATTTCTTCTGTTTGCTCAAATCTGCCATTGAGCTCCATTAGTGAATTTTTCATATCAGTTATTTTACAGTCCAATTCCAGAATTTCTATTTTTTTATGACTATATCTCTTTAATAATTCTATCTGGGGAAACATCCTTCCAATACATTCATTTTAAAATCTTATTTACAATCAAATTTAAATTTTTATAATTTAAAATTTGATAAGTAAAATTTTATAAGTACAACATCTGGGCTTCCAAGGGACCCTTTTTTTTTTTTTTTTTTTTTTTGAGACGGAGTCTCGCTCAAGCCTGTAGCCCAGGCTTGAGTGCAGTGGCGCGATCTTGGCTTACTGCAAGCTCCGCCTCCTGGGTTCACGCCATTCTCCTGCCTCAGCCTCCCAAGGGGCACTTTCTATTAAATAATTTTACTCCATGTATGGATTATATTTCCTGTTTCTTTGCATGACTCACTTTAAAATTTTTTAAAACTGTGTTTTTTAAATGATATAATTTGAAAAGTGTATTTCACTGGATATTATGTTGTTGCTTTCTGCTGGTTTCATTTTTGTTTTGTTTGTTTAATGACTTTCATTAACTAATTCTGCAAAGTCTTTTTTATTTGTGGTCACTACAGTCTCTGCTTGGCTAGTTTTGTGGTCAGTTAGGGATTGGACAGGGGTAAGTCTGACCAAGCCCCATCAAGTGATATGAGCTAAAGGTGTTGGTTGTGAGAAGATAAATGCCTTAAATGCCTTGAACCAACAAATCTCTCATCCTTCACTAATAGGTTCTTAGTCCATATTAGAGAACTCCTTCAATACTTAGGCAGTTTATAACTCTGTCTTAGATTTCAATTTCTACTTTCAGAAACTCTCAAGATCAGAGACAGATGAAATATTAGGACCATGCCAGGACTTTCCTAGGTATTTTTGAATCCCTGCTCATGTGCATGGACATCTAATTTCTGAGGAATCTGTTGGAGCTTTTCAAAGCCTTCTATAGATATCTGTTTCCTCAGCTTTTCTTTTTAAATGTTTTAATCACTTTCTTGTTTACTCTGTATCCTTGTTTCCGGTAGCTATGATGTTAAATATTCATTTCTACTTGTTTCAGCAAATGCATAGCGTAAAAAACTCGTCACAGGAAGTGAATTTTGTCATGTAAGATATGAATAAGCTATGTGAGCGGAGGACCCTAGGGAACTGCCAGATAGGTCAAATTATGACAAAATCTGGGAACTGGGCTTTTGAGTGACTGCTCTTTCCAGTGTCTACTAGGCTGATCTTAAAAAATAGCTTCTGTAGTTTCAAGATTGTTGTTTTTTTGAGTATCATGAGATTGAGGAGATTGGAATAATAGCACAATAATAGCACAGGTGAAATACCGTGAATTTCATTTGTTCTTACCAAGATTCAACCATTTGCTCTTGAATAAATGTTCCTTGGGTTTTTGCAAAACTTTGGTTAATTCGTAGCATTCTAACAATATTGGGTTTTCCATTTCTTTCCTGTGTTCTCATTGATCTTATGGAGGAGTGGATTTTCAAATGTTCTTACTCTCCTATTTGGAATGTGCTCACTCCTGATATATTTTAAGTATTTGATATATACTTCTTGAATATGTTAATAAATCTTATTAAGACTACGGAAACAGGATGCCAGCTCTTATGCAATGCCTCAGAACAGATAAGTACACCTTTGTAAAAAACTAGCCCTAAGGTTCTAAAATTTATTCCCTGAGTACCATATTCTCCACGATACTGTACTCTTTTGTTCATTTGATATTCATCCACATATTTATCCTGTATTGCTCTTTAACAGAGCTGCAGACTCATGGAAAATAATGTCTGAGTCAGTAACAATTCAGAATTTTAATTCCTATTATTAATATATCTTAGAAATCCCTTTATATTCATGAAAACCAATTAAAACTTCTCAGGTCTTTTATTGCTTAAATCATATTATGTTATATGTTCAGTTCCTTCTGTATTATCGATCCAACTATCTCAGGATAATTTGACCCATACTATTTTTGGAATGCATCCTTTAAGAAGTGAGCTTGGGTTAGTCTGACCAAGCCCCATCAAGTGATATGATCTAAGGGTGTTGGTTGTGAGAAGATAAAGCTAGATAGTAGCATTGAGGTTTGTGTAAGAAGGTGATAACTACTTTGAGAGATACTTAGGAGTGAGTCTGAGTATAACATTTTAGTGAGCGTAAAGGGACAAAACTAGAAAATCAAGTATAAGTATTAATATGGAAAGAGTATTTGTTCTAAAAAAATCAAGCATATATTGTTTCTCTCTCTCTCTCTCCCCCTCCCACTCTCCCTCTCTTTCTCTCCCTCTCCCACCCTTCCTCCCTCTCTCTCCCTCTCTCCCTCTCTCTTTGTGTGTGTGTAGCATGGTTGACAAATATTTTCAAAAATATAAATATTCCTGTCTCTTTTGAATTTCTGTATTCATGACATTCTCTCTAATACATCCAAAGAATACATGTCTTATGGATAGGGATGGGTTTTGTTTCACTAGAGATTCAACTAGAACTATTAGTTTTCAGCTTCTGATACCTAAAATTGGATTCTTCATTAAGAGAATACCTTGAAAACTAGGTTTTGTAAAGAGAAATATGAGATTTTCCAACTACATACTATATAGTACTTTTACAATAAGAAATAAGAATGGATGACTCAGATCATGGTGTTTAAGATACTCCCCAAAGTAGCAAAAAATTACAGAAAGAAAAAGAGAAAGTACAAAGACCACCTCTTAAATATCTGTCAGATTATGGAGATAAAAAGTAAAACAAAGGAAGACAGAATGGTAGTTAAATACCAAGGTAATTTTTTCCTCCTCTTCAATTTATGCTTGAAACCTGGAAGGAAAGACAACTTTAAAAATATACAAATGAATGTGAAAAATCTAAAGATGGAAGAGATATTGCCCTGCTTTCTGGAAGTTCTCAATGTAGTAACATTATATTTCCAAAGTAGTGTTTAAAACATAAATATAAATTCATAAGGAAAGCATAATTCAATGGAAGGGGAGACTGAGTTTAGTTTTCCTAAGGCATTATTGTTTCTATTTAGTGTTTGCTAAATCTGGAAATTTCTATATGCTCGTGAAATACACATTTTAAAAGTTATCTGAAAATATGTCTAAGACGTTTGCTAGAATATAATCACATAAAAGAGTAAGGATCAGACCACTCGTAGCTGAGGTCTTCAGGTTAGAAATCTTGGGCTGGGATTATATGAGCATTATGGCTAGTCCTTTATGTATGTTTTAGCAGCACAAATAGCTGAGGTCAACAAGACCAGCCAGGGAAAGGTATTGGGCTCTAATGAAAGTAAGAAAGACCTGGACTGATTTATACTAGCTGCAGGCTTCAACAGCAAATACCAAGTGATGGTACCTGTTGTCCCTCAGCTGCACCAGCTTAGGGAGAAGACCATCCTAATCAATCTTTAAGTAACACCTAAGGGAACCTATAGGGTACAGCCTAACACATGAGGTGCTGTCTTACTCCACTACTATAAACCTCTCTCAAAGACTGAGACACTATTTGGGTAAGAAATAGTAAACGGAGCCCAAATTTAAAAAAAAGAGACAGAGAGAGATCATATACCTGGAGGGACTGTGTTATTTGAAAACAACTAAACTAGCTCTGACAAGAAGTTAACTTTGAAAATACTGAAGGTTTAAACTACAAATATTTTAATTACCTGAATGGTAGAAGGCACTGAGATATTGTTACTTGGAAAACCTAAATTAGTATCACTACCCAGCATTGTAAAACAGCTAATGGGGGAATATATCAGTATAGCTTTAGAAAATAAAGAGCTACATTTTCTCTGTATATTTAAATGTAATAAAAATAAGCTTAGGCAACATAGCAAGACGTCATCTCTACATTAAAAAAAAAAAAGTTAGCCAGGCATGGTGGTGCATGCATGCCTGTGGTCCCAGCTACTAAGGATTGGGGAAGTCGGAGAATCACTTGAGCCGAAGAGGTCAAGGTTGTAGGGAGCTAGGATCACCTACTCCAGACTGGGTGACAGAGAGAGATCCTGTCTCTTTAAAAAAAACACAAGAACCAAAAAAAAAAAAAAGTAATAAAAATAAATTTGTCTGTTGCTAGAAGCAGGAGATTAAATAAAGGAGCATCAAATGAAAAGGGAATCAGTGTTGTGTGGGTATGTAATGAAACGGACATAGACTTGAAGAAAACCAGGGTGAGTCCATGAGCAGCTCAGGAAACTTCTGTCTTTTTTCAGATGTGAGTGTTGATGCGACTTTAAATAGAAAATTGCAATCTTTTAAAAAGAATTCTATCAATTGCCTTTGTCACGGTTTCAACAAGGTTATTCTTTATCCCTTATTTTGTTGTTATTCTGATTTTCTAGGATGTAATGCCCCTCCGAATTTAGAGCTAACAGTTTGCAAATGACTTCCAGTTGCCTTTACTGGGATATAAGGGATATGTTTTTTCTCTTGCTCAAGAATATTGAATATATTATTCATTATCTGAATCTTCTGGTTTAAAATTAATTAATTTATTATAGAGAAAGAAGAGAGAAGACATAGTTACAAGACAGAATAAGAAAGAAATTAATTTGCATTTCTCTCCTCTCTATTTCTTCTCTCACTTTCTCTCTCCTATTTTTGTCTTTATTCTTGTGAACTTCTTATATTTGTATCTATTCTCTTTTAAATTCCTTAGGTCCTGAGATCATTGAACTGGCTATTGTTATAACACTTACTTCAAATAGTTTATGACAGTATATAAATTGATGCTGACCATTTTCAAAATGCTTATTATTAAGCAGTAAAATAGAAATGTATTAATCATATAAATTATATTATTGAGATCACTGTGGTTATATGCAGTATATTAGGATTTTATATGTGTTATTTTATAAGTTTACACAAATACCATCTAAGGTAAATATTATTAGTTTCATATTATAGATGCAGACATTAAAGCACATAGAGCTAAGACAAGAATTCAAAGGTTATATTAAAAGAAAGAAAGACTGAAGATTTGAATTCAAGTCTTTCTAATTCAAAATCCTACAGTCTTTCCATTTGATGCTACTACATCATTCATTTATTTATGTATTCACTTTTTAATTTGTTTTTCTTCTTTCATCTCTTAAGCTCCTATTTAACAGCAGGCACTCTATTAGGCACTATATTTGGTGCTGAGTCACATACAAAGATAAATGACATATGATCTCCGTCTTAAAATAGCGTAAAGTCCAGTGGAGAAGAAAGAGATTCAGATGGAGTTGAATGTATTAAACAGTATCCAGATGAATCAGAAAATGCTTTAGGAATAAAGGGAGACTTTAAAAAATTACTTTAAAAATGCTACATAAATGTCAGTTTGCTGACATGACCATTTACCTCTTTCAAGCCCCCAAATCTAATTTTGCTGTCTCCTTGCTGATAAAGGCACTAAGAGAAAAATATGAAAGAAAATGGGAGCCTTGAAAGGTTTAAAATACTTTTCTTAAAAGTCATCTTCTTGCAGAATGGCATTGTGAAAAACTCAATGGGCTCTCTCCCTACAGAAATAACTATTTAACTTTTTAAAATGATATAAAATAACCATTTAGACTCTGGAGATTGTCCTAAGGGCATATAACCAGTGGAGGAACATTTATTCAAGAATATCTATGAAATATCATTAAGAACATTGAGAATCTGTGGCATTTGAGCCACAATTTGCTCCCACCCCCTCCACAGCTTTATGTGATGGAAACTCTTATGTAGACACTGTGCTCTGGGTGAGTGCAAACAAGAAAGCAGAAACTCCTTCTTACTTTAGCTCCTAGTATAGGACTATGGCTCCACCTGGGACAGACAGTTCATCAAATACCATCTCAAAGCCCTGTGTTTCAGAAGCCCTATTCCCAGTAGGTACGTCTGAGAGAATAAGGTCCCTTAGCCTACCCAGCTTCCATATGTAAGTAAGGACTACGCTTTAGGTGTGATATGCCAAGAATTCCATGTCTCAACTGTCCCACCCCAGCTCACTCATAGGATGAAGACTCTACCCTTATGGAGCAAGCTAAGAAGACTGGAAGCTACTATTCATCTCAGTATGAGTGCCCACTCATGGAATAAAGGTGTTACTCCTGGAAAATTGGCATGCTGTCCCCTACCACAGCAGTGGTGCAGTGGTGCAGAGGTTATGCCCAGAAAGAGACAGGTAGGTCATAAGAATGGAAATTCTACAACTCTGCCCAAGGGGACTTACTTCATTCGCTTATGTATTTATTATTTAAGTATTTATTCACAAAGTTCATGCCTAATGTCATTGTTTAATGAAATCAAAATTTGGTGATATCCAATAGAAGGGCTTGGTATTTTCATGATACTAACAATAATAAGCAAATAGTATGACTACTCAGAAAAGTAACAGAGAGAATTAAGGAAGGAAGAAGGGATCTCAGGATGTCAGCATAAAAAAAAAAAGAAGAATAAGGACTTCTAAAATATTGCTCCTCCCCCCCAAAAAATAACAGAACAACTGAAGGAAAATATCAGAATCAAATTTTCAAAACTCAAAATTAAACAAAAGCTTGCAGTAACCTAGGAGCACTTATTCAAGAAAAATGAATGGATCTTGGTGAGAACAGTGAGCTTTGTGGCTTTTTAATTTACATTAGTCCCACCCCTACTCCCCAGCTCAGCAGTCTTCTAAAATAGCAATACCTATCCCAGCACCAGAGAGAGGAGAATAAAGTTGGATCTGTTTCAAAGCCTTATTCCCAAGGAGCAGCCATTATTTAACCTATCTGGTAATTTCCTGGAGAGAAAAAAGGTTTGTCATTATTTCACCTGACTTAAAATTCATATAATGCTAAAAGCCACTCTTGGGGGTAGAGGGGGAAAGAAAGTATCATTTTGTAAACATTTACAGGAAAGTTTTTAACATACTTCTGCCTGCCTGGAGTGATATATAACAATTGAGGCGAACAATAAACCAACCAAAAAGCTTAAAAGAAAAAGTTGAAGAATGAGACATCTGTAAGGGCACTGAAAAACTCTGACACATTCTTGGAAATTTAGAAGACCATATTCATGCATAGTGGTGTGCACATCCTCAGGAAAGCCTTTGGAAGACCCTAATATCTCAAGCCTCTGGCTGAACTTAAAGCTGTGTACAAGAAGAAAATAAAGGCAATGGTAGAGGTTTAAACTGCATGGCTGAGTATTGAAGGTGTGCTCCAACAAGCACGTCCACCAAGAGCCCCTTTGCAAAGACTGAAAATATTTTTGGTTTTCTGTGTTTAAGTAAATAATTACCCAATTATTAGCTGTCAAGCTAATGGAGTATATATAGATTTCAGTATCCACCCACAGCCAAGAACACAGTCTTTACAAAATTTGCTCAGAAAAATCATTAAATAAGCAAACAATAAGAACTATAATAAGTGACAACAAAAACAAACCCTGGGGGAAGGGAAAATTCGATTTCTAGATTTGCCACATTGTGTGTTTTAAATGTCCAGTTTTCAAAAAAAAACACTTGTAAGATATGCAAAGAAATAAAATGGTATGGTCCATACACATGGAAAAATAGAAATCAATTGAAACCATTCTTGTAGAAACATCACCACAGAACTTACTACACAAAAACTTTCAATTAGGTATTATAAATAAGTTCAAAGAAGAAAATGTAGAAATTATATCTTATCAAACAGAGAATTCCAATAAAGAGATAGAAACCACTAAATATAAACTATGGAGTTGAAAGGTATAATAACTAAAATGAAATATTCACTAGAGGGGTATGGCCACAGATATGAACAGGCAGAAGAAAAAAATCAGTGAACTTGAAAGCTGGTCAATAGTGATTACCAAGTCGAAAGAGTAGAATGAAGAAAAATGAACAGAGCCTCAAATATCTGTGGGTACCATCAAGTCTTTCAAAATACACATAATAGGACTTTTAGAAAAAAAGAAAATAGTAAAAGGAAAAAAATGGAGGAAATAATACCTAAAAAAATCCCAGATTTGAAGAGAAAATATTCATCTACACATCTGGAACCTCAAATAAAATAAACCCAAAGAGATCTACACATAGACACATCATAATCAAGTGGTAAAAAGCTAAAGATAAAGAATCTTGAAAGAAAGAAGTGACACACCCTGTCATACATACAAGGAATCCTCAGTAAGATTAACAGCTGATTACTCATGAGGAAACTCTGATCATCTAGAGGCCTTCTAGAAGAAAGTGGGATGGCATATTTAAAGGGCTAAAAAAGGCTGGGGTCTATGGCATGCCTATAATCCCAGCACTTTGGGAGGCCGAGGCGGGTGGGTCACCTGAGGTTAGGAGTTCAAGACCAGCCTGGCCAACATGGTGAAACCCCGTCTCTACTAAAAATACAAAAAAAAAAAAAAAATTAGCCAGATGTGTTGGTGCAGCTACTCAGGAGGCAGAGGGAAGAGGATCGCTTGAATCTGGGAGGCAGAGGTTGCAGTGAGCCGAGATCATACCACTGCACTCTAGCCTGGGAGACATAGTTATCTGTGCAATGTAGTTTGCTTTATTTCAGAATGTCTTTCTTTTATATGATTACTCTAACCCTGATGACCTATGAACATAGTAATTGTAGTTTAAGCCCAGAGGCTAGATTTAATAAATGAGAGCCTGAGAGAAATTTTAGAGAAGAAACAATAGGGACTCTCTTTAGAAGTCAAATGCTTGGTAAGTGATGCTCTTTGTGATTTATTACTGGTAAATACCTGAACTTGTATCATTGAAGTTGAGGATAACACTTGGTCAAGTGTAAGGGACATCCAACACAGAAAAAAAAAAATTTAAAGGAAAACTTATCAAAGTCTATCAATTAGTTCTTTATACTTATCTGTTATGATGAATTCTGCATAGCCTATTGTTGCCTTGGGGACAACATGGCATCAATATCATTGATTTAGGTGAACTTAACTGAATTGTAAAGCTTGGAGGCTTCTGGTGAGTTTTTTTTTAACTTCATTGAGTCCTTTTTCCTAACTACAGTGAGGTTACTAAATCAGGTAACTGTGGAAAATGCTCATTTCATTTAATAATATCATACTCAAATAATATTTTTATTAACATTTTTCTTTTCAAGTCTATGATATGTCTTTAGATCACAGGGTACCATGAAATCTCAAGATGAACATCCATGAAAATTTAAATGTTCCAATCAGTATCACTGCATGAACATAGAACATCAGTCTTCCTCAACCCTTTGGATTCATCACTTTACTTTTACTCAGCTTTATTCTATCTGTCCTGTTCCCCAAATTCAATACTGTACTTTGCTCCTTCCAGTTTTCTTATTTTGTGTGACACTTCGGTAATGGTCTGTCTTTGACCATGGTCTGTTTTTTGACCACGGATGTAAGAACCACTTTAAAGACTGCCCATAGCAATAATATATTGAGGATGATTATGTGTCAGGTCCCATGCTAGACACAGAAATTATGAGGCACACATGACATACACAATTCCCGCGCCTTTGAAATCTAGACAGAGATAAAGATAAACATACACGTATATTTAATGTTGTCAATAACTGAACCCAATGTAGATAATACAGGAAATGAGAACATGTAGGAAAGGCATATATTGAAATTTCATGAATGGAGGAATGGCAAAAGCTTTGCAATTATGAAAGCCTCCTGTTGAAAATGACATTGAATTTGAGTCTGAGGTATAAATAGGAATTAGCCAGATAAAATAAGTCATAATAAAGACATAAACACAGGGAGTAACATGCCTGGATGCCTGGAAGTAAGAGAAAACATAAGATGTGAAAAGAACTGAGTACATGTTCATGTGGCTGCAGAATAGTATGTTTGGGGGTGGAAAGGGGTGAATACAATGGCTTTCAAGGAAATATAAAGGAAAACAGAGGCAAAATCCAGTTTTTTAAAACAAAAATCACTTTAGCATATCAATAAAACATCTTATTGCTAACAGACTCGCTTATGCTACATGTCACAATCTTTCTTCTTCAAATCATAACTACCGCATTTAGTTTAACTCTAAGATAATAAGGCAGTCCCATTCTCACTCCCTACACAAAGCAAAGCTTGAAAAAGTAAAAACACAGGTGTTCATGTAACAAGATAACAAAGAAGAACATAAAATTGGCAAGTGCCTTGTGTTACCATAAAATATTACCCACTCTTTAACCATCATTAACACGAGTTCCCTGAAGAGCAGATGTTACGAAAAGAAAATGGTATTTCTATGGTTTACTGTTAAATCATATCATAGATTCAATTTTAGGTAACAATTTTCAACAAGATGAAGGAATAGAAAGTTCTACTACATGAAAAACTCTTCTAGCAACTTTATATGTATACTTATATATCTAATATATTATGAAATCAAATATAAGACATCACTTGTTCTTTAATTTCATCCAAAATTGTCTTCAGGTATTCTTATACTGCCAGTTTAGTTATAGAACTAAATAAATATTTAGACACACTCTTCCAGGACCACTTTTTAAAACTTTTATCTTAGTTTGGGTAGGACAGGTGCAGGTTTGTTACATAGGTAAATTGCATGTCACGGGGGTTTGGTGTGCAGATTAATTCCTCACCCAGTAAGCATTGTACCTGATAGGTAGTTTTCAGTCCTCATGCTCTTCCCACCCTCCACCCTCCAGTAGCTCCTTCTTTGTGCCCATGTGTAGCAATGTTTAGCTCCCGCTTATAAGTGAGAACATGTGGTATCTGGTTTTCAGTTCCTGCATTAGTTCACGTAGGATAATAGCCTCCAGTTCCATCCATGTTGCTGCAGTGGACATGATCTCTTCCTTTTTCAGCTGTATAATAGTCCTTGGTGTATATGTGTCACATTTTCTTTATCCAGTCCATGGGCATCTAGGTTGATTCCATGTCTTTGCTATAGTGAATAGTGCTGTGATGAACATAAGTGTGCATGTGTCTTTATGGTAGAATGATTGATATTCCTCTTTGTATATACCCAATAATGGAATTACGGGGTCAAAAGGTAGTTCTGTTTCAAGTTCTTTCAGAAATCGCCAAACTGCTTTCCACAGTGGCTATATTAATTTACATTCCCACTAGCAGTGTATAAGCATTCCCCTTTATCTGTAACCCTGCCAGCTTCTGTTACTTTTTTTGCTTTTTTGACTAATAGCCATTCCGACTACTGTGAGATGGTATCTCATTGTGGTTTTGATTTACATTTCTCTAACGATTAGTGATGATCATTTTCTTCATACTCTTTTTGCCTGCATGAATGTCTTCTTTTGGATAATGTCTATTCAAACCCTTTGCCCACTTTTTAATGGTGTCGGTTTTTTTGTTAATTTGTTTAAGTTCTTTACAGATTCTAGACATTAGACCTCTGTCATATGTATGGTTTGCAGATATTTTCTCCCATTCTGTAGGTTGTGTGTTTACTTCGTTGACAGTTTCTTATGTTGTGTAGAAGCTCTTTAGTTTAATTAGGTCCCATTTGTCAATTTTTGTTTTTGTTGCAAGTGCTTTTGGTGTCTTTGTCATATAATCTTTGCCAGGTTCTATGTACAGAATGGTATTACTTAGGTTTTCTACCAGAGTGTTTACGGCTTTTGGTTTTACATTTAAAACTTTATCACAAATTGATTTTTGTATATAGTGTAAAGAAGGGGTCCAATTTTAATCTTCTGCATATGGCTATCTGGTTATCCCAGCACCATTTATTGAAGAGGAAGTCCATTTCCCATTGCTTGTTTTTGTCTGCTTTGTTGAAGATCAGGTGTGTGTAGATATGTGGGTTTAGTTTTGGGCTCTCTATCCTGTTCCATTAGTCTATGAATGTACTGAAACTTGTTTTATGTGTCTGTTTTTGTAACAACACCATGCTGTTTTGGTTACTGTAGCCTTGTAGTATAGTTTGAAGTCAGGTAGCTTTGTCCTACTGCTTAAGAATGCTTTGTCTATTTGGGTTATTTTTTGGTTCCACATGAATCTTATAATAGTTTTTTCTAATTCCATGAAGAATGTTATTAGTAGTTTGATAGGGATAGAATTAAATATATAAATTGCTTTTGGCAATATGGCCATTTTAACAATATTGATTTTTCCTGTCCATGTGCATGGAATGTTATTCCATCTGTTTGTGTTACCTATGATTTCTTTCAGTAGCGTTTTATAATACTCATTGTAGAGCTCTTAAACTCCCTAGTTGCTGTATTCCTAGGTATTTTTTGTGGCTATTAGAATGAGATTTTATTCTTGATTTGACACTCAGATTTGATTTTGTTGGTATATAGAAATGCTACTGATATTTAAACATTGCTTCTGTATCTCTATATCCTGAAACTTTGCCAGAGTTGTTTATCAGATCTAGGCATTTGGGGCAGTGACTATGGAGTTTTCAGATATGAAATCATACTGTCTGCAAACAGAGACAGTTTGACTTTCTCTATCCCTATTTTGATGTCTTGTATTTCTTTCTCTTGCCTGATTGCTCTGTCCAGGACTTCCAATACTGTGTTGAATAGGAGTGGTGAGAGAGGATATCCTTGTCTCAGGCCAATTCTCAAGGGAAATGCTTCCAGCTTTTGTACATTCAGTATGATGTTGGCTGTGGGTTTGTCATAGATGGCTCTCATTATTTTGAGATATGTTCTTTCAATGCTTAGTTTGTTTAGGGTTTTTAACATGAAAGAATGTTGAATTTTATCAAAAGTATTTTATGCATCTATTGAGATGATCATGTGCTTTTTGTTTTTAGTTCTCTTTATGTGATGGATCTTATATATTGATTTGCATATGTTGAATCAAACTTGCATCCAGGGATAATGCCTACTTGATTGTGGTAGATTAGCTTTTTGATGTGCTGCTTGGTTCAATTTGCTAGTATTTTTTTGAGGATTTTTGCATCTATGTCCATCAAGGATATTAGCCTGAAGTCTTCTATTTTCATTGTGCCTCTGCCATGTTTTGGTATCAGAAAGAGGCTGGCCTAGAATGAGTTAGGGAGGAGTCTCTCCTCCTCAACTTTTAAGAACAGTTTCAGTATTAGTGGTGCCAGCTCTTCTTTGTACAGCTGGTAAAATTTGGTTGTGAATCCATCTGGTCCTGGACTTTTTCTGCTTTGCAAGCCTTTTTGTTACAGATTCAATTTCAGAGCTCATTTTTTGGTCTACTTAGGGTTTCAGTTTCTTCCTGGTTCAATCTTGAGAGGTTGTATGTCTCCAGTAATTTGTCCATTTCTTGTAGGTTTTCTATTTTGTGTGCATAGAGGTGTTCATAATAATCTCTGAGGGTTTTTTTTTAATTTCTGTGGTGTCAGTGGTAATGTCCTCTTTGTCATTTTTTATTGCATTTATTTGGATCTTCTCACCTATTTTTTTTAAATTATAGTCTAGTTAGCAGTCTATCAATCTCTTATTTCTTCTTTCATAGAACCAACTTCTGGTTTTGTTAATCTTTTGTTTGCTTTTTGTGTCTCAATTTCATTTAGTTCAGCTCTGGTTTTGGTTATTTCTTGTCTTCTCCTAGTTTTGGGGTTTGCTTGCTCTTGTTTTTCTAGTTCTTCTACATGTGGTGTTAGATTGTTAACTTGACATCTTTCTAACTTTTTGATGTGGGTGTTTAGTGCCCTAAACTTTCCTCTTAACGCTGCTTTAGCCATGTCCTAGAGAATCTGGTAGGTTGTATCTTTTTTCTCATAAGCTTCAAATAATTTCTTGATTTCCGTCTTAATTCTAATTTTTGCTAAAAATACATTCAAGAGCAAGTCATTTAATTTCTATTCATTATTGTGTGGTTTTGATCCATCTTCTTAGCACTGATTTCTATTTTTATTGTGCAGAAGTGTGAGAATGCAGTTGGTAAGATTTTGAGTTTTTTGAATTTACTGATATTTGTTTTATGGCAAATTGTGTTTTTGATTTTACAGTATGTGCCATGTGCAGATGGGAAGAATGTATATTCTGTTCGTTTTAGGTGAAGAGTTCTGTAGTTGTATGTTAGTTTTGGTCAAGTGTCGAATTCAGGTCCTGAATATCTTTCTTAGTTTTCTACCTTGATGATCTAGCTAATACTGTCAGTGTGATGCTGAAGTCACCCACTATTACTGTGTGGTTATCTAAGTCTCTTTTAAGGTCTCTAAGAACTTGCTTATGAATCTGGATGCTTCTGTGTTGGGTGCATGTATATTTAGGATAGTTAAGTCTTCTTATTGAATTGAACCATTTATCATTATGTAATGCCCTTCTTTGTCTTTTTTTGGTCATTGTTGGTTTAAAGTCTGTTTCATCAGAAATTAGAATAGCAACCCCCACTTTTTTTTTCTTTTCCATTTGCTTGGTACATTTTTCTCCACCCTTTTACTTTGAGCCCATGAGTGTCACTGCAGGTGCAATGGGTCTCTTTTTTTTTTTTTTTTTTTTTTTTTTTTTTTTTTTTTTTTTTGAGACGGAGTCTCGCTCTGTCGCTCAGGCTGGAGTGCAGTGGCACGATCTCAGCTCACTGCAAGCTCCGCCTCCCAGGTTCACGCCATTCTCCTGCCTCAGCCTCCCGAGTAGCTGGGACTACAGGCGCCCGCTACCACGCCCGGCTAATTTTTTGTATTTTTAGTAGAGACGGGGTTTCACCGTGTTAGCCAGGATGGTCTCGATCTCCTGACCTCGTGATCCGCCCGCCTCGGCCTCCCAAAGTGCTGGGATTACAGGCGTGAGCCACCGCGCCTGGCCGCAATGGGTCTCTTGAAGACAGCATACCATTGAGTCTTGCTTCTTTATATAACTTGCCACTCTGTAACTTCAACTGGGGTACTTAGCCTATTTACATTCCAGGCTAATATTAATATGTGAGGATTTGATTTTGTCATCATTTTGTTAGCTGGTTATTATGCAGACTTGATTTTGTAGTTGCTTTATGGTGTCAATGGTCTTTGTACTTAAGTGTGTTTTGGGGTGGCTGGTAATGGTCTTTTATTTCTATATTTAGCACTTCTGTGAGGATCTCTCTCTCTTTTTGTTTTTTGAGACAGAGTCTTATTCTGTTGCCCAGGCTGGAGTACAGTGGCACAATCTCAGCTCACTGCAATCTCTACATCCTGGGTTCAAGTGATTCATCTGCCTCAGCCTCCCGAGTAGCTGGGATTACAGGCATGTGCCACCACACCTGTCTAATTTTATTTTATTTTTTTAGTAGAGATGGGTTTTCACCATGTTTGCCAGGCTGGTCTAAAACTCCTGACCTCAGGTGATCCACCTGCCTTGGCCTCCCAAAGTGCTAGGATTACAGGTGTGAGCCATCTCTTATAAGGTATGTTTGCTGATAACAAATTCCCTTAGCATATGCATCTCTGAAATATATCTTATTTCTGCTTTGCTTATGAAGCTTAGTTCTGATGGTTTGAAATTATTGATTGGAGTTTCTTTTCTTTTTATTATTTTTTAAGAATGCTGAATATAGGCCCCAGTCTCTTCTGGCTTGTAAAGTTTCTGCTGAAAGGTCCACTGTTAGCCTGATGAGGTTCCTTTTGTAAGTGACCCTCCCCTTCTCTCTAGTTGCCTTTAATATTTTTTCTTTCATTTCAGTGGAAGATCTGATGACTATATATCTTTGAGATGGTCATCCTGTATAGTAGCTCACAGGGGTCCTCTGCATTTCCTGAATTTGAATATTGACTTTTCCAGCAAGGGTGAGGAAACTTTCATGGATTATATCCACGACTATATTTTCCAAATTGAGCAATTTGGAAAATTTCTCACACTCTCTTTAATGAGTCCCTTTAATGACTCATTGGGATACAAACAAGTCATAAATTTGATCTCTTTATATGATCCCATATATCTCAGGAGTTTTGCTCATTCTTTTTACTTAAAAAATTTTTTTTTGTCTGAGATAATTCAGAGATCCAGTTTTCAAACTCTGAGATTCTTTTCTCAGTATTACATATTCTGCTGTTAATTCTTTCAACTGTATTATGCAATGTTTGTATTGAGTGAGCTAAAAAACTCACTACAAAAATTTCATAATACAATCACAACCAGTTTGGTTCTTCCTTAAAATTGTCTTTTCCTCTTTCAGCTCCTATATCATTTTATTGTATTTCTTAGAGTCCTTGGATTGGGTTTTGACTTTCTCCTGAATCTAATAATCTGTATTCTTGTCCATATTCTGAATTCTATGTCTGTCATTACAGCCATTTCAGCCTGGTAAAGAACTATTGTGGGACTAGCGAAGTCATTTGGAGGTAAGAAGACAGTCTGGCTTCTTGAGCTGCCAGATTTCTGTGCTGGCACTTTCTCATCTGTGTGGACTTACGATCCCTTAATGTTTGAAGCTGATGTCCTTTGGAATTTTTTTTTTTTTTTTTTTTTTTGCTTTTATCTTCCTTGATGCCCATGGAGGTTTGACTGTGGTATAAGGAGGGTTCAGGAGACTGGCTTCAATTCTGAAAGATTTCAGCAGATCAGGGCTCAGGTCAGTACTCCTTGCCTGTGTGCTCTAACTCTAGGGGGCTTGTATAAAGGTCCTTACTTGGTTCTCTGGCCCCTCAGAGTTAGAAACCTGCTGCGCTGGAGGGGCCTAGGTGTTCCCAGTCTGTGGACCTCATCCCTCCAAAGGAGAGTGCTGGCCAAAGCGCTTCATCAGGTGGTGGCAATGGGTTCCATGCTCACTCACTCATGCCAGCAGCCATGACAGTGCATGGGGTGCACATGTCTTGGCTGGGATGGGTCACTGGCTGGGGTAGGGCACTTAGATTTTGCCTGCACTGTATACTGGCAAAATATTTGGGGTTGTATTTTAGGCTATAATCCAATACATGGTGTTTAAGAGTATTAGCCAGCAGATAGTCTATTACTCTTCTGCATAGCTCTTTTGTGTTTTGGTGCAGTTGGCAGTATTGCTCTGTGGTGTAGATGGAGGATAATCCCCTCACCCAGCCTGCTCCTGGACTTAAAGGAATCCACTCTGATCACTGGCTCCATGCACGCATTTCTTTTGTTGGGTGTTCTGGTCTACAGGGTTCCCTCAAGCAGGGATCATGGTTGGCAGACAAGCTGTATCTTCTACCACCCTGTGAACTTGGGCATCTCATCTGTTTCAGTAACCTGAGAATGAGGGCTCTGCCCAAACCAGGAAGTCCCGCTCAACTGAAACGTGGGGTTAGGCGAGGGTTGCCTAATATGCTGTCTGAGTGTTTCTGGAAGGGAACACGGTGTTGCACTTGCCCACAGAGTTCAGGCTGTAGTGAGATAACTGGACTGGAAGTTCTAACAGGTGTGACCCATCTGGCTATGAGAGGCAGGATTGGGTGAATATGCCCACTCTGCTGTCTGGGTGAGCAACAGAAGTGAGACCACTGGGCTAGAAGCTCTGGCAGGTGTGGCCCACCTGGCTATTAGTGGTGGGGGTGAATGACATACATCCTGCCATCTGGGTGTTTTCTGGGGCAACAGGAGGCTGTGGCAGAAGGCTTCTGTTCACCACTCAGCTGGAAGCTGGCCCCGAGCCCCTTGTCTGATGAGGGAGCTATAGCAATCTTACTGTTCTCAGGCTCCACAACTGCAGCCTCTACTGGGGCTATTGCACTGGTCCCAATCTGTTCCAGGGACCAAGGCTTGTAGAAGTCCCCTTGCACTTGAGAGTTGCCAACCCAAAAAGTCTCTATGGCTCTCTGCCTCAGTTCAGAAACATAAGGGAGATGTGTGTGTGTGCCACGGTGTTTCTCCCATTCCCAGATTTGCACAGGTCCTGTGGAGAGTATGAATCCCCCAGGGAGTTCTCATTTACTCACTCTTAACCTTGTTTCACGTTTTTGGGAGCTTCTTCTGGCTCCACATTGATCCCAGATAGGCTGCTGCCCAACTTTGCTCCTCTCTGCCCTCTGTGTCCCTTTGCTGTCTTGATGGATCTCAATGTGGTTTCTTAGACAATTGGCTTGTAGGTTCAGTGTTCACTAGCCCTTTGTTTCTTCTCCGTGAGAGCAGCACACATGAGCTGCTTCTAGTCTGCCATCTGCATCCAATACTTCTGTGCTCATTTTATGAACTGTTGTCTGAAGGAGGTTTGCTTTTGATGGGAGGAGGCAGCCCTATTTATTTGAACTACTTCTTTCAAAATGACAAACTTTGGTTTTATATATTCAAATAAATATATTTTTCTCCTTTCTGCAACACTTTTAAAATATTTTATTGATTTTTGAGCATTTGGGGAAATGGTAGAAATTAATAAGAAATTATTTTAAATCTTTGGTTCAGTTACTGCTATGTTTTTTAAAAATAATATGTAGACTAATAAACTTTAAAAGACACAATTGGTTTTTAAGGTAGAGTCAAGTTACTCAGTTTTATAACTTAAATTACTGTGGATGTATATGGCAAGGGCTAATAAAGTTTACTTTTAGTATTTAATTTACTCCACAGACAAATTCAATGTGTGTATTTTACTGGTATAAATGGAGTTAACTTCTCTATACATGATCATTAGCATCTTAATGGGTTATTCTATTAAAGTGGGTTATTCTATTAAAAAACAAATTTCACATTAAGTATTTAAGTAGTATGGTTAGTTAAAATGAAAGGTTGTTTACAGTTTTTTTTTTTTTTTTTTTTTGCAAAATTAGTAACTTCTGAAAGGGAGAAATACCTATAGAATTTTTTTTAAAAATCCAAACATTTTCATGGCCCATAAAGTAATGCCCCTCATCTTTAAAAAAAAAAAAAGTAATAATTCATTGCCAAAGTGGACCTCCTCTGCTTCCTTTATTTTTCACTTTCTCTTTATTGAGGTAGCTTTTACATAGTGACAATTTCTATTCTCTAAAATAGGGCTCATTATTTCCAATATTCTCCCAGAAGATTTAAAAATATTCTTGATTTCAGAAAAAGAGATCAGAGATCACCTCCCAAAGTATTCCCCAGAACAGTAATTTAACTAGAACACATTTCTCCCCTAAAATAGCTGGAAGGCAGTATGCTTTAGTAGAGAAACACTAGTCTAGTTGTCAGGGGATGTGAGATATTATTTCAGGTTGAGAGCTATAGAATTTGTTTCTTCATCTGAATCTTTTTTTTTTCTGGTTTTTACCCTCGTGAGTTTTATTCAAGGAGAGATTATTCCTAGCTTGTCAAAATAAGTTTGAAATGGTCCAGTAGAAATATCCACAAATATTTTAGCTTTTAGATAGGTGAATTTCAACAGATAGATGCTTAGTTTTTTTTTTTTTTTTATCTTAACCTGATTAAAAACTGTCTGAGATTTCAGAGTAACTATTTTCTGCTGTTCTGAGGCTTTCATTTCAGGATTAGCTTTTCTGGTCTAATTAACCATAGACACACAAGGAGTGTAGTTAATAACTATACTATGTGATTTTGTTTGTAAACAATTAAAAAATACTTTTTCAAAGTAGAGAAGAAATTTGTTAAAAGGACTTATTTTTAAAAATCACTTAACTCATGGGAAGATCAAGGGACAGTCTCAGAAGAGAAGAAAGAGTACATGGAGGCAAAAGTCATGCTGCAAAACTAGCCTGCTGAGGAAAACAGTGGCACCACAGGAGACTAAAACCGCAGGTTGCTCCACTATGATTGCTTTTCTTGGAAACCACATTTGGTGGCCACAACTTCTGCCTCTTTCTGATTCAACCATCTCTGCTTCTTTCATCAGTGGCTTCCAATTTGGAATCCTGGACAGACACAGACAGGTATCTATTTCTTTCTGAGTGGTGCTTGAAGGTCTCCTGCTGAAATTATAATTTTTGCAAACCATGAAACTGTCATTTTCTTCTCAATAGAGGAACAGTCCTGTTGCATGAAAACATCTGAAAATACATTTTGTCTTCATTTCTGGGCTGCTAGTGACCCATTAGTGTACAAACTACACGATGATGAAGTGACAATAGTTTGTAAGTCACTGAATGGTGTTTATATTATAATCTGACTTATATTGTGTATAACTAATATGAAAAACATTTAAGTATGGTAAAGCAATTTAAGTTATAGGATGCATAATGTAAATAATACTTTTCAAAGGCTTATTTTTAATTGACAAATAATAATTGTATACATTTATGGGGTACAATGTGATGTTTTTATACATGTAGGTATTGTGGAATGATCAAATCAGGCTAATTAATATATCCATTACCTCAAGTTATCAAATTTTGTGTGGTAAAAACATTTAAAATCATTTCCTAGCTATTTGAAATATTTGATATATTATTATTAGCTTTAGTCACCATGCTACACATTCCTCCTATCTAACTGAAGGTTTGTACCCATTGACTAATGTCTCTTCTGCCCCTATCCACTCTCCATCTTGGCCTCTGGTAACCATCATTCTACTGTACACTTTCTCAGATTCCACATATAAGTGAGATCACCCAGTATTTGTCTCTCTGTGCCTGGCTTATTTCACTTAATATAATGCCCTCTAAGTTATTCATGTTATCACAAAGAACAAAATGTTCTCTTTTAAAAAAGATGAATAATATTCATTGTACATCTATCACACTTCAAAAATCTGATCATCATTCATTAATAAACACTTAGGTTATTTCCACATGTGGGCTATTGTGAATAAAGCTGTAATGAACATGGGAGTGCAGACATCTCTTCGACATACTGATCTCAATTCCTTTGGGTATATACCCAGTAGTGAGTATCATATGGCAGTTCTATTTTTAGATTTCTGAGAAACCTCCGTACTATTGTCCATATGGCTGTACTAATTTACAATCCCATCAACAGTGTATAAGGGTTCCCTTTTCTCCACATCCCCACCACCACTTGTTATCTTTGATCTTTAATATAATAGCCAATCTAATAGGTATATCATTGTGGTTTTAATTTGCATTTCTCTGATGATTAGAGATGTTAACATTTTTTTCATATATCTGTTAGTCATGTTTATGTCTTCTTTTGAGGGATGTCTACTCATTAATGCCAATTAATGTCTTGCCAATTAATATGGTGATTTGTTTTATTTTTATTGAGTAGTTTGAGTATCTCGTACATTTCACAATATTAGCCTCTTATCTGATCTATGCTTGTTAAATATTTTATCCCAATCTGTGGGTTGTATTTCACTCTATAAGTCTTTTTCTTTTCTGTGCAGAAGAGTTTTAGTTTGATGCAATCCCATTTATCTATTTCAGTTTTCAATGCCTGTGCTTTTCAGGTTATATTCATGAAATTACTGCCCAGACCAATATTAAGAAGCCTTTCTCCTATGTTTTCTTCTAATAGTTTTATAGTTCCAGGTCTTATATTTAAAAGTTATTAGTCCATTTTTACATTGCTGTAAAAAATACCCCAAACTGGGTAATGTATAAGTAAAATAGGTTTAATTGGCTCACAGTTTTGCATGCTGTATAAGCATGACTCCAGCATCTGCTTCTGGGAAGAGCCACAGGAAGCTTACAATCATAGAGGGAGGGAAGGGGAGATGGTATATAACATGGCAAGAGCTCGAACAAGGCAGGGGTGGGGTGCCACATTCTTATTAAAAAAATCAGGTCTTTCAGGAATACGGAACAAGAACTCACTCATCATGAGGACAGCCACGAGCCACTCACAAGGGATCTACCCACATGACCCAAACACCTCCCGCCAGGCCCTACCTCTAACACAGGGAATTACATTTCAACATGAGATTTGGAAAGAACAAACATGCAAACTATATCAATTCTTTAGTCCGTTTTGAATTCACTTTTGTATAAGGAGTGAGATAAGGCTCCATTTTCATCATCTATATGTGAATACCCAGTTTACCCAACCTCATTTTTTTTAAGAGAGTGCCCTTCCCGTTGTTTGTTATTTGTACCTTTGTCAAAAATCAGTTGACTGTAGATGTGTAGGTTTAATTTCTGGGCCTTCTATCCTATTCTATTGGTTGATGTGTCTGTTTTTATGCCAGTACCATGCTGCTTTGATTACTATAATTTTGTAATAGATTTTGAAATACCGTAGACTGATACCTCAAGCTTTGTTCCTTTTGGTAAAGATAATTTTGTTTATGCAGGGTCTTTTGTGGTTCTATATACATTTTAGGATATTTTTCTATATTTGTGACAAATATTGGAATTTTCATAGGAATTTCGGTGAATCTGAACATCACGTTAGATAGTAGGGACATTTTAACAATATTAATTATTATAATTCATGAAAACAGGACAGGAAAGATACATCCTGGCTCAATAAATGTAATAATTCCATGAGCAATAGCAGTCTTAGAAGAGGAAATGCTGCTCACCTATTTTTTATGTTGACTAGATAATAAATGGTATTCTTCTTCCTTAAGTTTTGCTGTAATAACTTAAGCTATTTGAATTGATATTGAGGTCAAATATAAAAATGGGCATATTACTTTTCATTCTGATGATAATTATATCTAATTTACTTAGGTGGTAAAATGTCTACCTTTTAAAGACAATTTATTTACTATTTGTTGCCTTTAATTATGAGATGATTTTTCTACAATCAGATAAGAATGTATGTCGTGTGCACAGGTAAAAATTAAGGCATGACATGACTATTATTGGTACTTTTTAATAAATAATATAACATCTTTTCTACAGCAGAGCATTAGGAAAAGGAATGGAAGGCTGAAGGACAAGAACACTGGAAGATTAAATAGGATTAAAAGGGACTTCCTATTTTTCTATATCCAAGAGAAATGGAAAGACATATCATAAGGAATTATGGAAAAAGAAATTGAATTTCTCTTCTACTAATTTGTGACTTTTTGAAAAAGATAGTGCCTTGATCAGAAATAGGTTAGATGAGTGATTGCCACCATATAATTCATTTTCTCAGATAGATGTTAAGTAAAGAAAACCAGTCAAGACATAGCACCTAAAGGCAAGACGGGAGAAAATGATTTTGAAAATATTGAGAAGAAGAAAGAGAAGTCCTAAGCTTTGATTTTTGGAGTAACTTATCATTGAAGTCACTTCTGCTCCACTATGGAAATAAACTATCAATGGATTTAGAAAACAGATTTTGCAGGCTGAAGTCACTTAACATTTTTAAGCATCTAAATATGCAGTTTACTTTATTATATAGACTTTTCTGTTATTCAGAGTTTATAAAACGCTGTATAAAAAGGGGTTTATTTCCTTTTCAGTTCTTCCCAGAAATGCTGAGAAAACAGAAATACGAAACCTAAGGCAATGGAAATTCCACAAAATTAATTTGCTAGAGTGTTTTTCAAACTTATAAATATAGGGTTGTGACATTTACATTAATGCTTTTGGGGTTAAGAGGAGACTTCCAACTACAGTTAGAAACCATTACACTTTGAGAATATTGATTGAGAGGTGATAAAACATGATGTGTGTTATCAAAGAGCAGAGCCTTCTCATGTGGAAATGCTAGGACAGCAAGAGTAGGAGAGCAGACTAACCACTAGAATCAGGGTTAGGCCTTCATAAAGCAACTGATATCCCCCAACCTGCAGAGGTCTGTTTCCTTGTGTTACTCAGTGAACTGGTATTTTGTATTTTCCTGGTATTCTTAGGTGGCCATTATTGCTGTTATTCCAGCTGTGATACTGAAAAGAAATAGCGAAGATTTTGCCTTCAGAAAGTTCTCAGTGACAACCAGGTCAGCTAAAAGATATATTATGTGATGTGCATTTACCTTTCCTTTTCTGCTAGTGTCTGTGTTAGACTCCATCCCACTATCATTTGGTTGACTACAGAACTTGAAACTACTTAGATTTCAATCCCTTAAATTCTCATTAACTATATATTTTATTGCCTTATTAAAGAATTTTGTTGTTAACACGTTTTACCTTTGACGAAGGAGTAAACTGGCATTTAAATTCAGCATTGCAAGTCCTTAAATTAACATTCTAAATAATATTCCACCAATTAGCAAACCAGAATATTTCATTTTATAGAAAATTTTTATATTGTATTTCTTCTTATACTCTAAAAAACAACAACAGCAACCCAAACCTGAGTTAGTAGCCAAATTTTTGGCTACTCTTGTTGAAATATCTCTTGTTGAAGTGCAGAAAAAAACCAGAAACTGCAAGACTGTTCCAAGGAAAGTCACAAAGTACCCTGTCTCTGTTTTATAGAAAACAAGGGCCAGTAAGTTTAACAATTCTTGATATAAAACTTAGGCAGTAATTATGTCCTTTATTACTATTTGGGGTATAATGAGATGCACAAAAGTACTATGTATAATTTTGTATTTAAGTCTATGACAGTTATAAAAAGTACTCTTCTGTTACATTTTCCTCTGGAGTCTAACTATTGTCCTTCTATGATAAAGCAAATAAAGCCTATTGTACTTTAACAATGAGTATCCTGAGGTTTTCTAAAGTCCAAATGATTAGAAAATCTAACAAACGGAAAAATTTCAGCAGACCTTGGGAAAAAAATGCAGTGGTATAAAAAAAGATTATATTAAGAAGAATTGGAGTTTAATATCACATTAAGCTGTGGCAACACAACTAGGGATTTACAACAAGATAAACCAACTCTGGGTATAACAAAGCAGCACTATCTCTTTTTCTACTTACAAAATTGCTATATTGTAGTTCATCTCTTATTTGAAATCAGACTGACCAAGCTGGAAATATGGAACATATCCTCCGATTTAAACAGAATACATTTATATTCTACTTAAAGATACTACTGAAACATAATAGCACAAGGATAATCTCCTTTGACAGAGGAGCAGTTATAAATACTGAGAATAGTTAACAGCTACAGTTATGTATTATAGGGGGTGGGGATTAGTAGACAGATCTCTGGGCATGACGTTGGAAGATTGGATTCTATTTGTGTGTCAGGAGTTATTTTATTTTGTGACCTTGAGCAAGCTGCTTAAGCTCATTGTCTCATAATTTTCCATGAGCATAATGAGTATAGCATTGCTTGTTCCTCCATTCCAAAGATTGATTGGAATGCTCTTTCAGAAGAGTGATGGCTTACTAATCTCATTACTATTATTTTTAATATTTCATGTCTTCCCCCTAGAATACTTATGAAAATACTTCAACAAGGCTTTCAAGGAAAGTTATACACTGATATTCTGTGGTTATCACAAATTATAAGAGTTGATGTTCACCTTAGTACTTGTATAATAGAATCAGTCATGAATGTTCTATACAGCAATTTTGCTCATTAAATTAAACAGTTCGTTTCCCAAATTTTACGCTTCATAGAAATTGCTTTTCTGCCTAATGAATCCTGTCGTCAACCGAGCAATTAACTTGTCCATTGATATTCTGAGAATTGATCTGTCATAGCATTAGGTTTTCTTCTGATAGATTAAATATTGTTGATTAAAAAATCTATAGTTCTGTAATTATGTTTCCTCCTAACATAATTACACTCAATAACAGGGATGACTTGACCACTTAATTATTTGGAGAGCTTTCCATAAAGTATCTTATGCCATGTTATTTTCCTTTACAAAGAACAAAACATTGTCTATTTAATATTATAATAAGTATCAGTTTTAGAATATTCTTAACATTAAACAGTTTGAATCATATATGCCTTGCTGCCAGAAAGGATGAAACTGAAAGATACTAGCCTTGGAACTTCATGGTTGGCCATGGGAATAGCACCAATCTTATTCTTTGTTCTTCTCATTCTTATTCTTAAATTTGCTTGAAACATAAATAAAATTACAATGTATATTTCTGGGCTCTAGACTATTTATACACAAATTGTCCAACTTGTTCTAGATGGAAAAAATGGTTCCTTTATAATTCTAATTTCGGAATTTGAAGTACTAGACTTCTAAATGAAATTCAGATCTCTTCTTAATTTCTTCAAATAATTAATTGAATTGAATTGCATGTATTCAGCCTTTTTTGGAATTACTCATCTTTATTTCCCCAACGTGTAGAACATTATCTGAGAATAGATAACTAGTAATTATTTGAGAGAAGAATGAATAGACATGTATTCACAGTTTATTTACAGCTAGAATGTTCTAGAGTCACAAAGAACTTTCTTTCTTTACAATTTTCTTCATATTATTGTTATATTTCAAATTCCTAGGATACCTGCCAATTAATGTACTATATTAAAATGTGTCATACAGCTTTCTAAAATTAAAAGATATCCACAAGAGAATTATTTATCAATTTCCATCACTGCTAAACTGCGTGCTATTTCATGAGCACCTACTATGTCCCAGAGATGTTAATCCTCATAGCAACCAGGTATATTGTACAAAAAGCTACTATTTTTCTTTAGAGAGAAGGAGGAAATTTGGTCAAATCAATGGCAGGTAAGTGGCATAGGCCAAGTTAAACTTAAGGACCATTTTGCTACAAATCCAGGGCTATTTTCATGTTCTTTGACTGCCCTGCTTTTTCTTCCTTCTTCCTTTAGGGTTATGAAATAATCTATACTGGCAATTTCTGCAAGTTTGACAAGTCATCTGTCTTTAAAATTGGGGCAAGACAAGAACATTTAAAAAAACTCTTTGTGAAGAGGTATGGATAAAACTAAATTGGATTTTAATAAATTTGTAACCCAATCTTAACACAGTGATATAGGCCCTGGGAGCAGAACTGGAAGCCTGACCAGAATGTACAGTTTAGCAACCCAAAGGCTTTGTACTTTAACAAATGTCTATTTGGATCCAGATAAATGACAGTGAAAGGAAAGGTAAACAGCGTCTCCTGAATTTAGAGATCAGGGCAGATCACACAGTAAGCCTCCCACTGGCTCTTACCCCACATCTTATACAAATAAAATTATAACAAACTTTAAGAGAAACCTCACATGTATATGTGGAGACCGAGATATAATAGCCTATTAGTTAATGGCATGCTTTTTGGAGACACACAGTCAGCTCCTGGGATACAAGTTGAATCCCATGGTGTATTAGTGTCCTTATCTGTAAAATGAAGATAATAATAGTAACCCCCTGTAAGGTGGTAGGTGTTCATTTTAGTTTATTCTCTTTCTGACTTAATGCTCCTGAATTCTCATGATAAGTACAAAGTAAGTCACAAATGTAGGCCAAGAGAATATGTAAGGAATGAGCCAGCAAGATATAATAATATTTGACTAAGAAATAGTGCAAAGGGTTTATGAACTTGTTTTTGTGGTAACAAACATAATCAGTACAAG